>NC_000010.11:1222121-1373636 GCF_000001405.40 Homo sapiens
GATGGTATCTCATTGTGGCTTTGATTTGCATTTCTCTGATGGCCAGTGATGATGAGCATTTTTTCATGTGTCTTTTGGCTGCATAAATGTCTTTTTTTGAGAAGTGTTTGTTCATATCCTTCGCCCACTTTTTGAATGGGGTTGTTTTTTTCTTGTAAATTTGTTTGAGTTCATTGTAGATTCTGGATATTAGCCCTTTGTCAGATGAGTAGGTTGCAAAAAATTTTCTCCCATTTTGTAGTTTGCCTGTTCACTCTGATGTTAGTTTCTTTTGCTGTGCAGAAGCTCTTTAGTTTAATTAGATCCCATTTGTCAATCTTGGCTTTTGTTGCCATTGCTTTTGGTGTTTTAGACATGAAGTCCTTGCCCATGCCAATGTCCTGAATGGTATTGCCTAGATTTTCTTCTAGGGTTTTTATGGTTTTAGGTCTAACATGTAAGTCTTTAATCCATCTTGAATTAATTTTTGTATAAAGTGTAAGGAAGGGATCCAGTTTCAGCTTTCTACATATGGCTAGCCAGTTTTCCCAGCACCATTTATTAAATAGGGAATCCTTTCCCCATTGCTTGTTTTTGTCAGGTTTGTCAAAGATCAGATGGTTGTAGATATGCGGCATTATTTCTGAGGGCTCTGTTCTGTTCCATTGGTCTATATCTCTGTTTTGGTACCAGTACCATGCTGTTTTGGTTACTGTAGCCTTGTAGTATAGTTTGAAGTCAGGTAGCATGATGCCTCCAGCTTTGTTCTTTTGGCTTAGGATTGACTTGGTGATGTGGGCTCTTTTTTGGTTCCATATGAACTTTAAAGTAGTTTTTTCCAATTCTGTGAAGAAAGTCATTGGTAGCTTGATGGGGATGGTATTGAGTCTATAAATTACCTTGGGCAATATGGCCTTTTTCACGATATTGATTCTTCCTGCCCATGAGCATGTATTGTTCTTCGATTTGTTTGTGTCCTCTTTTATTTCATTGAGCTGTGGTTTGTAGTTCTCCTTGAAGAGGTCCTTCACATCCCTTGTAAGTTGGATTCCTAGGTATTTTATTCTCTTTGAAGCAATTGTGAATGGGAGTTCACTCATGATTTGGCTCTCTGTTTGTCTGTTATTGGTGTATAAGAATGCTTGTGATTTTTGTACATTGATTTTGTATCCTGAGACTTTGCTGAAGTTGCTTATCAGCTTGAGGGAATTTTGGGCTGAGACGATGGGGTTTTCTAGATATACAGTCATGTCATCTGCAAACAGGGACAATTTGACTTCCTCTTTTTCTAATTGAATAACCTTTATTTCCTTCTCCTGCCTGATTGCCCTGGCCAGAACTTCCAACACTATGTTGAATAGGAGTGGTGAGAGAGGGCATCCCTCTCACTGTCTTGTGCCAGTTTTCAAAGGGAATGCTTCCAGTTTTTGCCCATTCAGTATGATATTGGCTGTGGGTTTGTCATAGATAGCTCTTATTATTTTCAGATACGTCCCATCAATACCTAATTTATTGAGAGTTTTTACCATGAAGGGTTGTTGAATTTTGTCAAAGGCCTTTTCTGCATCTATTGAGATAATCATGTGGTTTTTGTCTTTGGCTCTGTTTATATGCTGGATTACGTTTATTGATTTTCGTATGTTGAACCAGCCTTGCATCCCAGGGATGAAGCCCACTTGATCATGGTGGATGAGCTTTTTGATGTGCTGCTGGATTCGTTTTGCCCGTATTTTATTGAGAATTTTTGCATCAATGCTCATCAAGGATATTGGTCTAAAATTCTCTTTTTTGGTTGTGTCTCTGCCAGGCTTTGGTTTCAGGATGATGCTGGCCTCGTAAAATGCGTTAGGGAGGATTCCCTCTTTTTCTATTGATTGGAATAGTTTCAGAAGGAATGGTACCAGCTCCTCTTTGTACCTCTGGTAGAATTCGGCTGTGAACCCCATCTGGTCCTGGACTTTTTTTGGTTGGTAAGCTGTTGATCATTGCCTCAATTTCAGAGCCTGTTATTGGTATATTCAGAGATTCAGCTTCTTCCTTGTTTAGTCTTGGGAGGATGTATGTGTCGAGGAATTTATCCATTTCTTCTAGATTTTCTAGTTTATTTGCATAGAGGTGTTTGTAGTATTCTCTGATGGTAGTTTGTATTTCTGTGGGATCGGTGGTGATATCCCCTTTATCATTTTTTATTGCATCTCTTTGATTCTTCTCTCTTTTCTTCTTTATTAGTCTTGCTAGTGGTCTATCACATTTTGTTGATCTTTTCAAAAAAACAGCTCCTGGATTCATTAATTTTTTGAAGGGTTTTTTGTGTCTCTATTTCCTTCAGTTCTGCTCTGATTTTAGTTATTTCTTGCCTTCTGCTAGCTTTTGAATGTGTTTGCTCTTGCTTTTCTAGTTCTTTTAATTGTGATGTTAGGGTGTCAATTTTGGATCTTTCCTGCTTTCTCTTGTGGGCATTTAGTGCTATAAATTTCCCTCTACACACTGCTTCGAATGTGTCCCAGAGATTCTGGTATGTTGTGTCTTTGTTCTTATTGGTTTCAAAGAACATCTTTATTTCTGCCTTCATTTCATTATGTACCCAGTAGT
Source organism: Homo sapiens (assembly GCF_000001405.40). NCBI lineage: Eukaryota > Metazoa > Chordata > Mammalia > Primates > Hominidae > Homo > Homo sapiens. The sequence continues at coordinate 1,224,693 of NC_000010.11, forward strand.
CATTCAGGAGCAGGTTGTTCAGTTTCCACGTAGTTGAGTGGTTTTGAGTGAGTTTCTTTCTAGTTTGATTGCACTGTGGTCTGAGAGACAGTTTGTTATAATTTCGGTTCTTTTACATTTGCTGAGGAGAGCTTTACTTCCAATTATGTGGTCAGTTTTGGAGTAGGTGTGGTGTGGTGCTGAAAAAAATGTATATTCTGTTGATTTGGGGTGGAGAGTTCTGTAGATGTCTATTAGGTCCACTTGGTGCAGAGCTGAGTTTAATTCCTGGGTATCCTTGTTAACTTTCTGTCTTGTTGATCTGTCTAATTTTGACAGTGGGGTGTTAAAGTCTCCCATTATTATTGTGTGGGAGTCTAAGTGTCTTTGTAGGTCTCTAAGGACTTGCTTTATGAATCTGGGTGCTCCTGTATTGGGTGCATATATATTTAGGATAGTTAGCTCTTCTTGTTGAATTGATCCCTTTACCATTATGTAATGGCCTTCTTTGTCTCTTTTGATCTTCGTTGGTTTAAAGGCTGTTTTATTAGAGACTAGGATTGCAACCCCTGCCTTTTTTTGTTTTCCATTTGCTTGGTAGATCTTCCTCCATCCCTTTGAGCCTATGTGTGTCTCTGCAGCTGAGATGGGTTTCCTGAATACAGCACACTGATGGGTCTTGACTCTTTTTCCAATTTGCCAGTCTGTGCCTTTTAATTGGAGCATTTAGCCCATTTACATTTAAGGTTAGTATTGTTATGTGTGAATTTGATCCTGTCATTATGATGTTAGCTGGTTATTTTGCTCATTAGTTGATGCAGTTTCTTCCTAGCCTTGATGGTGTTTACAATTTGGCATGTTTTTGCAGTGGCTGGTACCGGTTGTTCCTTTCCATGTTTAGTGCTTCCTTCAGGAGTTCTTGTAGGGCAGGCCTGGTGGTGACAAAATCTCTCAGCATTTGCTTGTCTGTAAAGTATTTTATTTCTCCTTCACTTATGAAGCTTAGTTTGGCTGGATATGAAATTCTGGGTTAAAATTCTTTTCTTTAAGAATGTCGAATGTTGGTCCCCACTCTCTTCTGGCTTGTAGAGTTTCTGCCGAGAGATCAGCTGTTAGTCTGATGGGGTCCCTTTGTGGGTAACCCGACCTTTCTCTCTGGCTGCCCTTAACATTTTTTCCTTCATTTCAACTTTGGTGAATCTGACAATTATGTGTCTTGGAGCTGCTCTTCTCGAGGAGTATCTTTGTGGCGTTCTCTGTATTTCCTGAATATGAATGTTGGCCTGCTTTGCTAGATTGGGGAAGTTCTCCTGGATAATATCCTGCAGAGTGTTTTCCAACTTGGTTCCATTCTCCCCATCACTTTCAGGTACACCAATCAGACGTAGATTTGGTCTTTCCACATAGTCCCATATTTCTTGGAGGCTTTCTTCATTTCTTTTTATTCTTTTTTCTCTAAACTTCTCTTCTTGATTCATTTCATTCATTTGATCTTCCATCACTGATACCCTTTCTTCCAGTTGATCGCATTGGCTACTGAGGCTTCTGCATTTGTCATGTAGCTCTCGTGCCTTGATTTTCAGCTCCATCAGGTCCTTTAAGGACTTCTCTGCATTGGTTATTCAGTTATCCATTCATCTAATTTTTTTTCAAAACTTTTAACTTCTTTGCCATTGGTTCGAATTTCCTCCTGTAGCTCAGAGTAGTTTGATCGTCTGAAGCCTTCTTCTCTGAACTCATCAAAGTCATTCTCCATCCAGCTTTGTTCCATTGCTGGTGAGGCACTCCATTCCTTTGGAGGAGGAGAGGTGCTCTGATTTTTAGAGTTTCCAGTTTTTCTGCTCTGTTTTCTTCCCCATCTTTGTACTTTTATCTACCTTTGGTCTTTGATGATGGTGATGTACAGATGGGTTTTTGGTGTGGATGTCCTTTCTGTTTGTTAGTTTTCCTTCTAACAGTCAGGACCCTCAGCTGCAGGTCTGTTGGAGTTTGTTAGAGGTCCACTCCAGACCCTGTTTGCCTGGGTATCTGCAGCGGTGGCTGTAGAACAGCAGATATTGGTGAACCGCAGATGCTTCTGCCTGATCGTTCCTCTGGAAGTTTTGTCTTAGAGGAGTACCCGGCTGTGTGAGGTGTCAGTCTGCCTCTATTGGGGGGGTGCCTCCCAGTTAGGCTACTCGGGGGTCAGGTGGAGGCAGTCCACCCGATCTCAGCTCTCAAGCTGCATGATGGGAGAACCACTACTCTCTTCAAAGCTGTCAGAGAGGGACATTTAAGTCTGCAGAGGTTACTGCTGTCTTTTTGTTTGTCTGTTCCCTGCCCCCAGAGGTGGAGCCTATAGAGGCAGGCAGGCCTCCTTAAGCTGTGGTGGGCTCCACCCAGTTTGAGCTTCCAGGCTGCTTTGTTTATCTAATCAAACAACTAACTCGGCAATGGCGGGCGCCCCTCCCCCAGCCTCACTGCCGCCTTGCAGTTTGATCTGGACTGCTGTGCTAGCAATCAGCGAGACTCCGTGGGTGTAGGACCCTCCGAGCCAGGTGTGGAATATAATCTCCTGGTATGCCATTTTTTAAGCCTGTTGGAAAAGTGCAGAATTAGGGTGGGAGTGACCCGATTTTCCAGGTGCTGTCTGTCACCCCTTTCTTTGACTAGGAAAGGGAATTCCATGACCCCTTGCGCTTCCCGGGTGAGGCGATGCCTCGCCCTGTTTCAGCTCAAGCACGGTGCACTGCACCCAGTGTCCTGCACCTACTGTCTGGCACTCCCCAGTGAGATGAACCCGGTACCTCAGTTGGAAATGCAGAAATCACCTGTCTTCTGCGTCGCTCACGCTGGGAGCTGTAGACCGGAGCTGTTCCTATTCGGCCATCTTGGCTCCTCCCCCTAGATCCTCATTTCTAAATGAGGATGTGCTTTAGAAAATTGTTCAAGTGAATCTTTTATTTTTAGGGGAGAATCAAAAGGAATTGGAGACAAACAACAAGAGGTTTGTCCCCTGGGGAGCTAAAGATTTATCTAAAAAGCGATGCATGGTTGCTACCATCACAAGGGGGAGAGAGAGCACCAAAAATGAAACAAACCACAGGCATGAGAAAAGAAGAAAATATTTTTAAACACCAAATAAATTTTAGATTTTCAAACTGTCTTCAAAAGGCATATCCCAGAAAGTCTGCCTGTGAAGCAACCTAGTATTCATTGTAATAATAATATCCACAGAAGTTACCATGTGTCCACGTGGGTGCACTTTGCCATATTTGATTGATGATGATGATGATAGTGATGATGCTGGATTATAAGGCCATTAAAATTCATTATCCTGCAATGCACGGATATTATCATATTTTGCATATTTCTGTAACTCAATGGGAAAATCTGAAGCAGGAATTTAAGGAACTGTATTTTATATTCCCTGACTTCCTATGGGATTTTCGTTAAATCTCTTCAACTACCTTTCTAGTCGTTGAATGGAATTGGCTTAGAACAAACGTACTAGGCTCATAGCATGTACTTGTAGGTAAATATATGACATCATCTATTTTTCTTGGCATTTTCTGGACACAGACTGGAGAATTTAAGCTGCTAAGTTCTCAGAAAATGGCTGTAAGAACTGAGTTTACCAGGTTATTTAAAAACCATGCCAAGAAAGAAGAATTTGCAGGCAGGTCGTTGGTGGGTTGGGAGGAGAGGAGCTGCTCAACCACAGTGAAGTACAGAGATCCTCATCTTCTGCTCCATCTGGGCTCTTTCAGAACTGCCTGAGTTCTATCCCAGGCCTCCCAGGGCCACTAAAGGACCCGTCGCCCTCGTGAGTCTGTGCTGACAGCAGTCATTGGAACCCTGACTCTAACATAGACACACACAGCATGTTCTCCTGGTGTGGGAATAAATGTCTTTCAGGCATTTGTCCCTGCCTTAACTGACCTGGCCCCTCTAGGTCCAGGGGAAAGCCACAGATGTGGCAGTTTTGAGTCGCTTGAGATGAATGGAGTAGCCCTGGGTCACATGACATTGAAGACTGAGTCTGCGGTCTCTGTCGCGAAAGCAGCTTTCCCCTCGGTCGCATGCGATGCACCACGAACACTTTTCATTCCTGCCTGTGATGCCACAGAGCGGGGAGTCCAGCCATAAGCTCTGCCTGGCCTCTGCAGACAGGCAGGCTACCAGGCCGTCCATGCCTCCAAGCCCTTTCTACAAAGCCAGCAAGGAAACAAATGCCCAGTCTGAAGAGATGATTTAAGGAGTTCAAACCTGCTGGCTCAAAACCCGACCTGTGCTCAGAAAACTAGAGTCTTGGATGCCCCTCTGCCCCGAATGCATCAGAATCTCGGCCAGAGTGCATGGGGTGAGCTGCATTGGTAAACACTGGCCTGGGACCCTGATAGATAAGCCAGAGCTGGAAACAACAAACTTGAATGCCTTCCGAAGCTAGCAGGTGACACAGCTCCCAAAATACCTGAGACCAATTGGCATTGATACCATGTCTGAGGCCTCCAGGAATGGGGAATTTATGATCTAGACAAATGTTTTTGAGGGGAAAAATAAAATAGGGCCATCTAGAATTTCTCGAGCCACATGCATCCCAGGAAAGTGGGGCTGGATGGCAACCCCAGGGCCCTTGTGTTGTGTCTAAGACTTGGAGCCCCTGAGCCTGGGCCTCGGGTGGCTGGGGCTTGGGGAATTCCTGGTCCTGCTGAGCTGTTGGAGCAGGTTGCTGCCGGGAGCCAGCTGCTCAGCAGCCACCAGAGAGTCAGAAGTGTGCTCCTAGAAACCCCAAGTCAGACTCACTTCTCTCCTGGGCCTTTACATGATACTTACTATCATGATTATTTAAACCTATCTACAGAAATTTTTTCTTATGCCCTACTCTGTGTTCCTTCATTTTTAAAAGAAGGGGGAACAATCTTGGGCACCAAACTTCTTTTTGACTTAATCACGTCATAGTTATATTGATAGATCTGATGCATCAGATACGTGTCGTGTGCTTGTGTGTGCACATATGCTTATGTATGTGTTTGTGTGTGCACATGTGCTTATGTATGCGTGTTCATGTGTGCACTTGTGCTTGTTTGTATGTGCACGTGATTACATGTGTGCACATATGTGCTTCTGTGTACATGTGTTTATGTGTGTGCGTGTACATGTACTTATGTATGTTTTTGTGCACATGTGCTTACGTGTGTGTGTGTGTGTGTGTGTGGGTATATATGTGTGAGAAAGGGAGAAGTCTGGCACAGTTGAGAGAGGGGCTAGCAGGCGTGGCCACTGTGGAGATGCACAATCGCTCGATGCAGGCCAAAGGGGAGACTGAGGAAGGGATGAGCTCAAGTGACCAGGACCAAGCACTGTGCTGGTGAGAGGAGACATGGCAGGTCCAGAAGGGGCCAGAGGCAGAGAGCACTCGAGAAGACTGAAACCTCTGTGCAGAGTCTCCTTCGGTTTCAGATGAGCTCCTCTGGCCCCCAGCAAAGGTCTCGGTGGAGGGGACTGAGCTCTCTGCACTCTGCGGCCTCTGCATTTGTGAGAATAACATCATGGCCCTCAGGGCTTCCTTTGTTCCCTGGGCTTCTTTTGGGAATGTGGTCCTCTGAATTGGAGGGGCAGTGCCGCTGGGTTTCTGCAGGGTTAATCCATAGGAGGGAGGCAGTGCCAGCTGCAGACCTCTGGGAACAGTGCAAACTGGATGTGTCCAGCTCCCGCCGCCAGCCTTTCCTTTGGGGGCTTGTCACCATCGACACTGCCCTTGGCTAGCCCTGGAGGAGCCCCTCACAGCAAAAGCCTGGCCACTGGCATCCCCTTATCCATGGTCCAACCCTCTTTAAAGGGTAACAAAGACATACACCGCCTGAGTTAGCAACGTGGAGACCCCTGCCTCTTATTGTAAAGGAGCTTAAAGCATCTCTCTGCAGGGGAAATGGCAGGAGTTGTTCCTGAAGGTCTCTGCCTTCCTCAGGCAGTTCAAAGGATGCAGAGCCAGCTCTCTGAAGGGTCCTTCCAAGCAGAGAACAGCAGGAACTTGAGTTCTCCTGCCTTTACTGAGTGACTTTGGCAGATGAGTCCCTGTTATAGGAGAGTTCACCAAGTACCTTCCTTCTCCACGCTCTCCAGATGGGAGAGCGGAGGAGTGGCACCAGCCCAATGCAGAGGCACAGCACAGGCAGGAGTTTCTCAATTTTGCCTGGCATATCTGCTGCAAAAATGTGAGAAAAATGCTTTATTTTTTCTCCTACCAGCACCTGCCACTTCTTAAAAGCACCATGAAATAAAAGACATCTGTGTCTGGAAGTGAACCTCAGGGTGCCTCGGAGAACGTATTTGTTTTTCTAAAGCACAGACATTGCAGTAGAAAGTGAGGGCTGGCTGGAGAGGCTGCAGTTGGTGATCGATGTACAGAGATGTGGGAGGCCCAGTGGACTAGAACTGTCCCCTGGGGAGACCACGGGGTCTCAGGCGTGGACAAGGCTCCTGCTGTTCTCACTCAGCCCTCTCCCAACTCCCACCAGGGACATATTAGCCAAGGAAGAGGCTGGATAACTCAGCACCAACCCCAAGCATTTGGCGGGACTTTTCCTCTCAATTCTGAGGGTTCCTAGCTGGGTCTTTACGATGCCAACCCTTTAAAGAAGAATGGAAAGATAATTCCCAGTAGCTGTCCAATGGACCAGATTTCACAAAATTCCCAATAGCTGTGCAGTGTACCAGATTTCACAGTTTTATAGGGTGAGCTGGTATCATGTAGCTCTGGCTTGCTGAATATGTCCAGTGAAAATGAAGCCACTCCTGGTGGTTTTTCTGTCTCTCTCTTCCTGAGTTGGCCTGGTAGTGGGGGGTGCCCTGTGTGATCTTGTGGGGCCACACTGGGCTCCCTTCCCTCTGGGGAGGGCTGTGTCCACTTCTCAGGTACTCAGGCTGCCCCTGCCTCTCTCTCCCTACTGCAGGAAGTTCCTTTAAAAGTCCCTGAGGTTGAACAGGCTTCCTTTTCTTCATTCCCAGTTTGACGGGATTCTCTCATTTAATTTCCAAAGGGTGTGGAAATACTACCCAAATTCAAATTCACTTACAGAGAACCCTATCCAGCCATGCCAGAGGATCCACTTACAGAGAACCGTATCCAGCCATCCCAAAGGGAAAGCAGTGGGGCTGGAGGGAAGTCCGCAAAAAGGAGGAGGAATGTTTCTGGGCCAGCATCCCATGTGAGGACTGCAGAATCAGGCTAAGCTCGTGTGAGATTAAAGACACCATTATCCCCACACCTTCTTGTCTTTGGTGGAGGCTGCATGACAAGCCTGACAACAGCAGGGCATAACAAAAATGCTTAATTTTCCTTACCTTGGTAATTAAACCACCATGTAGCCTTCCACCGGAGGAGAGTCAGGCCAAAGCCAAGCCTTAATAGCTGTGTGCTGTCCATGTATGTCTGCCAGAGATTTCCTCCCTCATCAGGACTGGACTCCTCATCATACACATATCACATACACCACACACACCACACACATAGCACACACACCGCACACACACCGCACACATAGCACACACACCACATACACCACTGCATTGCCTGCATTGAAAGATCTGCCTGGAGCTGCTTCTGGAAAGGGTGTGGGAGCATGTGAATGTGTGTGCGGTGTATGTGATATGCACGTGGTGTATGTCGTATACATGTGTGTTGTATATGCTGTGTGTGGTGTGTGTGGTCTGTGTGTGGTGTGTGTGGTATGCGTGGTATGCATGTGCTTGTGGCATGTGTGTGGTATATGTGGTGTGTGTTTGCAGTGTATGTGGTATGCATGTATGGCATATATGGCATGCGTGTAGTGTACATGCTATGCATGTGTATGTGGTATGTGCTGTGTGTGATGTGTGGTATATGTGGTATGTGTGTGTGGTGTATGTGCTATGTGTGTGGTGTGTGGTATGCATGTGGTATATGTGGTATGTGTTTGTGGTATATGATGTGTGTGGTGTATGTGGTCTGTGTGTGGTATATGTGGTATGCATGTGGTGCTTGTGACGTGTGTGGTATATGTGGTGTGTGCAGTGTATGTGGTATGTGTGTAGTGTATGTGACATGAGTAGTGTATGTGGTATGTGGTGTGTGTGGTATATATGGTATGTGTGTGGTGTATGTGGTTTGTGTGTAGTGATATGCATGTGCTATATGTGGTATGTGTGTGGTATATGTGGTATGCGTGTAGTGTATGTGGTGTGTGTGTTGTATGTGTGTGGTGTGTGTGGTATACATGTGTGGTATATGTGGTGTGTGTGTGGTGTATGTGGTATATACATATATGTGTGTGACATATGCAGATAGCACTAAGCAATAGGATTTCATCATTAAAATGAAAGAGAGGAGTTTCCCTGAAGCACCTTTTCTTTTATCATGGAGTTGCTGATGTCAAGGGTGGCTTCAAGGGAGAGCCCCACCCTGCCCCACGCCCTGCCCTCCGACCCTGGCAATCGCAGCATCACTGCCCTTTGCTGATGGAGAGGACAGAGGGGCAGGGGCTGCGTGGATGCGTTCTGTCTCACCTCCATCGATAAATGCTCACAGGGCGGGTTTGCAGTGGAACTTTATAGTTCACCTGGGGAAACCCCTTTGCAGGGAATCACTCATCCCTGGCTTGGTTGCAAAAGCTGAGCTTTTTTCCTCCCCAACGCTGTGAGCAAAGGCAAGCAGAGCCAGTGAGAATTTGCTCCCAGCCTGCGTAACTCTCACTGGCCTTCCCTTCATTCCATTTTCCCAGCCCAGGACACAGGGATTGTCTGAGTTATTAAAGCAGAGAACTATGGCAATTAGGTAGCTAATTTTAGGCCTCAGACTACTCTTCTGCCAATCACTTGAGCATTTCAGACTAAGATTTTGGAGGCATGGTTATCCCACTAATTGTAGACTCAATCCCCTTCCAGTACCCAAGGGCCCCACACACCGCGCCCCTGCCCTGGGCTGTGAAAGCCCAGGACAGAGTCCCAGATAGAGGGAGCTGGGGGCTGTTGGCCTACAGAAGGTAAAAGCATGGTCTCTTACGGTCTGTGGTGATCTCGTAGGGAGAGTGGAGTCTTGCGTCTCCACAGGGGGAGGTGCTCACGTAGAGATGGAAGAGGATGTTCTCTCGCAGCCGGTAGCCACCTTCTTTTAACCGCACGAATATCGATCGCTCTGAGTCCTCGCGCCGCTTGCTAGGGTCACAAAGAGGTTTGGGGTCATTTATCACAAACCAAACCAGAAATGTTCCAACCAGGTGAACGCTTGAGTCCTGTTTTGTAGAGTTGTTCCCCAAGTTTTCCTTTATATTTTTCCTTTTTTTTTTCCTTTTTTTTTTGAGACGGAGTCTTGTTCTGTCACCCAGGCTGGAGTGCAATGGTGCCATATTTGCTCACTGCAACCTCCACCCACTGAGTTCAAGCAATTCTTCTGCCTTGAGTATCAAGTGATACTCAGCCTCCCGAGTAGCTGGGATTACAGGCATGCGCCACCACGCCTAGTTCATTTTTGTATTTTTAGTAGATACAGGGTTTCACCATGTTGGCCAGGTTTGTCTTGAACTCCCAGCCTCAGGTGATCCACCCACCTCAGTCTCCCGAAGTGCTGGGATTACAGGTGTGAGCCGCTGCGCCTGGCCCCCAAGTTTCTCCTTCTTCACACCCCATAGTGTGTCTTTCCCCTGTACCAACACTTCTAGAACAGGCAGCAATGAAACTACGTGAATGCGAACATGACTGGCAGAAACCCTGCTTTCTTACCCCCGCCTTGACATTTACCTGTCAGGGTTATTATTATTCTTTTCTAAAGATAAGGTCTTGCTCTGTTGCTGCTCATGCTGGAGTGCAGTAGCGTGATCACGGCTCACTGTAGCCTCAGCTTCCTGGGCTCAAGTGATCCTCCTGCCTCAGCCTCCCGAGTAGCTGGGACTACAGGTGCACACCACCATGCGAGGCTAATTTATTTACTTTTTTTTAGAGACAGGGTCTTGCTTTGTTGCCCCGAGTGGTCTGGAACTTCTGAGCTCAAGCGATCCACTTGCCCCAGGCTCCGAAAGTGCTGGGATTACAGGTGCGAGCGACCATGATCTTTTTTTTTTTTTTTTTTTTTTTTTTTTTTTGTGACGGAGTCTTGCTTTGTCCCAGGCTGCAGTGCAGTGGTGCAATCTTGGCTCACTGCAACCTCTGCCTCCTGGGTTCAAACGATTCTCCTGCCTCAGCCTCCTGAGTAGTTGGGATTACAGGTGCATGCCACCATACCCAGCTAATTTTTGTATTTTTAGTAGAGATGGTTTTGCCATGTTGGCCAGGCTGGTTTTGAACTCCTGACTTCAGGTGATCCACCCGCCTTGGCCCCCCAAAGAGCTGGGATTACAGGCGAGAGCCACCACACTGGGCCCCACCATGATCTTTTACCAAGCCATTTTTTCCCACTGCTGTTCGCCCACATCTATCTGTCTACACACCTGTGATTCTGTGGATTTGCCAGTGCTGCTCATGGCCATACCTCACAGTGGACTGTGGGTTTGACGTAGCCTGAGTGGGCAGCTTGTGTGTGATTAAAAGGAGGAAAAGAGCTGTAGGAAGGCCTGGGCTCCGTCACCAGCACAGGTGGGAGTGGAGAACCGTGGCGAAACGGCTTTCCTTCTGCATCCAGCCATGACCCAGGTGGGGCGGGAGAGTTCCCAGCCTCTCTGATGGTGAATGATTTGCCTGTTGCAAAACTCCCACCAGCTGTGAAGCTGGAGCTGAGCAGCCCCACCTCTGCCCCATCGGAGTGGGCGCTGAACGAACATGCCTGCATTTCCTTCTTCGGTGTTTACCCTCTGTCTCCCGGTGTTTACTCCCCTCTCCCTCCCGGTGTTTACTCCCCTCTGCCTCCCGGTGTTTACTCCCCTCTCCCTCCCGGTGTTTACTCCCCCCTGCCTCCCGGTGTTTACTCCCCTCTGCCTCCCGGTGTTTACTCCCCTCTGCCTCCCGGTGTTTACTCCCCTCTGCCTCCCGGTGTTTACTCCCCTCTCCCTCCCGGTGTTTACTCCCCTCTGCCTCCCGGTGTTTACTCCCTGTGTCCTGGTGTTACTCCCCTGCTTTCAGGTGATCCACCCGCCTGGGCCCCCCAAAGAGCTGGGATTACAGGCGAGAGCCACCACACTGGGCCCCACCATGATCTTTTAACAAGCCAATTTTTCCCACTGCTGTTCGCCCACATCTATCTGTCTACACACCTGTGATTCTGTGGATTTGCCAGTGCTGCTCATGGCCATACCTCACAGTGGACTGTGGGTTTGACGTAGCCTGAGTGGGCAGCTTGTGTGTGATTAAAAGGAGGAAAAGAGCTGTAGGAAGGCCTGGGCTCCGTCACCAGCACAGGTGGGAGTGGAGAACCGTGGCGAAACGGCTTTCCTTCTGCATCCAGCCATGACCCAGGTGGGGCGGGAGAGTTCCCAGCCTCTCTGATGGTGAATGATTTGCCTGTTGCAAAACTCCCACCAGCTGTGAAGCTGGAGCTGAGCAGCCCCACCTCTGCCCCATCGGAGTGGGCGCTGAACGAACATGCCTGCATTTCCTTCTTCGGTGTTTACCCTCTGTCTCCCGGTGTTTACTCCCCTCTCCCTCCCGGTGTTTACTCCCCTCTGCCTCCCGGTGTTTACTCCCCTCTCCCTCCCGGTGTTTACTCCCCTCTGCCTCCCGGTGTTCACTCCCCCCTGCCTCCCGGTGTTCACTCCCCTCTGCCTCCCGGTGTTTACTCCCCCTCTGCCTCCCGGTGTTTACTCCCCCCTGCCTCCAGCCATGACCCAGGTGGGGCGGGAGAGTTCCCAGCCTCTCTGATGGTGAATGATTTGCCTGTTGCAAAACTCCCACCAGCTGTGAAGCTGGAGCTGAGCAGCCCCACCTCTGCCCCATCGGAGTGGGCGCTGAACGAACATGCCTGCATTTCCTTCTTCGGTGTTTACCCTCTGTCTCCCGGTGTTTACTCCCCTCTCCCTCCCGGTGTTTACTCCCCTCTGCCTCCCGGTGTTTACTCCCCTCTCCCTCCCGGTGTTTACTCCCCTCTCCCTCCCGGTGTTTACTCCCCTCTCCCTCCCGGTGTTTACTCCCCTCTGCCTCCCGGTGTTTACTCCCCTCTGCCTCCCGGTGTTTACTCCCCCCCTGCCTCCCGGTGTTTACTCCCCTCTCCCTCCCGGTGTTTACTCCCCTCTCCCTCCCGGTGTTTACTCCCCTCTGCCTCCCGGTGTTTACTCCCCTCTCCCTCCCGGTGTTTACTCCCCCCTGCCTCCCGGTGTTTACTCCCCTCTGCCTCCCGGTGTTTACTCCCCTCTCCCTCCCGGTGTTTACTCCCCTCTGCCTCCCGGTGTTTACTCCCCTCTGCCTCCCGGTGTTCACTCCCCTCTGCCTCCCGGTGTTTACTCCCCTCTGCCTCCGGTGGTTAATTCCCTCTTGCCTCCGGTGGTTAACTCCCCCCTGCCTCCGGTTGTTAACTCCCCCCTGCCTCCGGGTGTTAACTCCCCTCTCCCTCCGGGTGTTAACTCCCCCCTGCCTCCGGGTGTTAACTCCCCTCTCCCTCCGGTGTTTACTCCCCTCTGCCTCCCGGTGTTTACTCCCCTCTGCCCTCCCGGTGTTTACTCCCCCCTGCCTCCCGGTGTTTACTCCCCTCTCCCTCCCGGTGTTTACTCCCCCCTGCCTCCCGGTGTTTACTCCCCTCTCCCTCCCGGTGTTTACTCCCCTCTGCCTCCCGGTGTTTACTCCCCTCTCCCTCCCGGTGTTTACTCCCCTCTCCCTCCCGGTGTTTACTCCCCTCTGCCTCCCGGTGTTCACTCCCCTCTGCCTCCCGGTGTTTACTCCCCTCTGCCTCCCGGTGTTTACTCCCCTCTGCCTCCCGGTGTTCACTCCCCCCTGCCTCCCGGTGTTTACTCCCCTCTGCCTCCCGGTGTTTACTCCCCCCTGCCTCCCGGTGTTTACTCCCATCTCCCTCCCGGTGTTTACTCCCCTCTGCCTCCCGGTGTTTACTCCCCCCTGCCTCCCGGTGTTTACTCCCCCCTGCCTCCCGGTGTTTACTCCCCTCTCCCTCCCGGTGTTCACTCCCCTCTGCCTCCCGGTGTTTACTCCCCTCTCCCTCCCGGTGTTTACTCCCCTCTCCCTCCCGGTGTTTACTCCCCCCTGCCTCCCGGTGTTTACTCCCCTCTCCCTCCCGGTGTTTACTCCCCTCTGCCTCCCGGTGTTTACTCCCCTCTCCCTCCCGGTGTTTACTCCCCTCTCCCTCCCGGTGTTTACTCCCCTCTCCCTCCCGGTGTTTACTCCCCTCTGCCTCCCGGTGTTTACTCCCCTCTGCCTCCCGGTGTTTACTCCCCCCCTGCCTCCCGGTGTTTACTCCCCTCTCCCTCCCGGTGTTTACTCCCCTCTGCCTCCCGGTGTTTACTCCCTGCATCCCGGTGTTTACTCCCCTCTCCCTCCCGGTGTTTACTCCCCCCTCCCTCCCGGTGTTTACTCCCCTCTCCCTCCCGGTGTTTACTCCCCTCTGCCTCCCGGTGTTTACTCCCTGCATCCCGGTGTTTACTCCCCTCTGCCTCCCGGTGTTTACTCCCCTCTGCCTCCCGGTGTTTACTCCCCTCTCCCTCCCGGTGTTTACTCCCCTCTCCCTCCCGGTGTTTACTCCCCCCTGCCTCCCGGTGTTTACTCCCCTCTCCCTCCCGGTGTTTACTCCCCTCTGCCTCCCGGTGTTTACTCCCTGCATCCCGGTGTTTACTCCCCTCTCCCTCCCGGTGTTTACTCCCCTCTCCCTCCCGGTGTTTACTCCCCTCTTCCTCCCGGTGTTTACTCCCCTCTGCCTCCCGGTGTTCACTCCCCCTCTCCCTCCCGGTGTTTACTCCCCTCTGCCTCCCGGTGTTCACTCCCCCCTCCCTCCCGGTGTTCACTCCCCTCTCCCTCCCGGTGTTCACTCCCCTCTGCCTCCCGGTGTTTACTCCCCTCTGCCTCCCGGTGTTCACTCCCCTCTGTCTCCCGGTGTTTACTCCCCTCTCCCTCCCGGTGTTTACTCCCCCCTGCCTCCCGGTGTTTACTCCCTGCATCCCGGTGTTTACTCCCCTCTGCCTCCCGGTGTTTACTCCCCTCTGCCTCCCGGTGTTTACTCCCCTCTCCCTCCCGGTGTTTACTCCCCTCTCCCTCCCGGTGTTTACTCCCCCCTGCCTCCCGGTGTTTACTCCCCTCTCCCTCCCGGTGTTTACTCCCCTCTGCCTCCCGGTGTTTACTCCCTGCATCCCGGTGTTTACTCCCCTCTCCCTCCCTCTGGCGATACTCCCCTCTCCCTCCCGGTGTTTACTCCCCTCTTCCTCCCGGTGTTTACTCCCCTCTGCCTCCCGGTGTTCACTCCCCTCTCCCTCCCGGTGTTTACTCCCCTCTGCCTCCCGGTGTTCACTCCCCTCTGCCTCCCGGTGTTTACTCCCCTCTGCCTCCCGGTGTTTACTCCCCTCTGCCTCCCGGTGTTTACTCCCCTCTCCCTCCCGGTGTTTACTCCCCTCTCCCTCCCGGTGTTTACTCCCCCCTGCCTCCCGGAGTTTACTCCCCTCTCCCTCTCCCTCCCGGTGTTTACTCCCCCCTGCCTCCCGGTGTTTACTCCCCTCTCCCTCCCGGTGTTTACTCCCCTCTGCCTCCCGGTGTTTACTCCCCTCTCCCTCCCGGTGTTTACTCCCCTCTGCCTCCCGGTGTTTACTCCCCCTCTCCCTCCCGGTGTTTACTCCCCCCTGCCTCCCGGTGTTTACTCCCCTCTCCCTCCCGGTGTTTACTCCCCTCTGCCTCCCGGTGTTCACTCCCCTCTGCCTCCCGGTGTTTACTCCCCTCTGCCTCCCGGTGTTCACTCCCCTCTGCCTCCCGGTGTTTACTCCCCTCTGCCTCCCGGTGTTCACTCCCCTCTGCCTCCCGGTGTTTACTCCCCCCTCCCTCCCGGTGTTTACTCCCCTCTGCCTCCCGGTGTTTACTCCCCTCTCCCTCCCGGTGTTTACTCCCCTCTCCCTCCCGGTGTTTACTCCCCTCTGCCTCCCGGTGCTTACTCCCCTCTGCCTCCCGGTGTTTACTCCCCCCTCCCTCCCGGTGTTCACTCCCCTCTGCCTCCCGGTGTTTACTCCCCCCTCCCTCCCGGTGTTTACTCCCCTCTGCCTCCCGGTGTTTACTCCCCTCTCCCTCCCGGTGTTTACTCCCCCCTGCCTCCCGGTGTTTACTCCCCTCTCCCTCCCGGTGTTTACTCCCCTCTCCCTCCCGGTGTTCACTCCCCTCTCCCTCCCGGTGTTCACTCCCCTCTGCCTCCCGGTGTTTACTCCCCTCTGCCTCCCGGTGTTCACTCCCCTCTGCCTCCCGGTGTTTACTCCCCTCTGCCTCCCGGTGTTTACTCCCCCCTCCCTCCCGGTGTTTACTCCCCTCTGCCTCCCGGTGTTTACTCCCCCTCTGCCTCCCGGTGTTTACTCCCCTCTGCCTCCCGGTGTTTACTCCCCTCTCCCTCCCGGTGTTTACTCCCCCTCTGCCTCCCGGTGTTTACTCCCCTCTGCCTCCCGGTGTTTACTCCCCCCTCCCTCCCGGTGTTTACTCCCCTCTGCCTCCCGGTGTTTACTCCCCTCTGCCTCCCGGTGTTTACTCCCCTCTGCCTCCCGGTGTTTACTCCCCTCTCCCTCCCGGTGTTTACTCCCCTCTGCCTCCCGGTGTTTACTCCCTGTGTCCTGGTGTTTACTCCCCTGCTTCCTGGCCATCTACCTTCTGCCGGTCTTGCTGTTTTCACACGTTCTGCCCCATGGGTGATGGATTGTGTTCTGTGGGGCCCTGAGATCACACAGGCAACAGAACAGACATTTTCTCCACAGGAAGTCCTTGCGGCATCCAGCAGTCTTCCTGCCTCTGTGCCTGCACTCTGCCCACAGCCACCATCCCCCACTGCCCCGGCTGCCTCCCCCAGGACCCTTGGCAAATGTATCCCAAGCCTGGGCCCCGGCACAGGGCCTGTCAGCCACGTGGCTGCCCTGGACTCCCCCTCCCCTGTGCTGGTTCCCCATGCAGGGCAGGCGTCGGGTGCACCTGTCTGTGGACCCCCCCAGCTGGTGGCACAGCACCAAGCATGTAACCAGCTCCTGGTAAATATTGGTCCAGTTGCCTTCTCTGACACAAACAAGAGTGAGGGATCTTGGTGATAGTCCCAGTTGAGCAGGTGGACATTTAGGAGAAATCCTTCCCTACATTCTGAGATATTTCTGTTCCCCCATATCCAACTCCTGCTGCACCCCGCAGGCCTCAGGGAACTGAGGGATGGGTTCAACCTGTGGCTCCCTGCTCAGAGGCTCAGATAAGAATGAGCTGAGTGTGGGCTGAGCACAGTGGCTCATGCCTGTAATCTCAGCACTTTGGGAGGCCGAGATAGGGTGACCACTTGAGGTTAGGAGTTTGACAACGTGATGAAACCCCGTCTCTACTAAAAATACAAAAATTAGCCAGGCGTGGTGGTGAACGCCTGTAGACCCAGCTACTCAGGAGGTTGAGGTGGGAGAATTGCTTCAACCCGGGAGGCAGAGGTTGCAGTGGGCCAAGATAATGCCATTGCACTCCAGCCTGGGCGACAGAGCAAGACTCCATCTCAAAAAAAAAGAATGAGCTGAGTGTGTTAAGGTGTTGTTTTCAGCAGCGTCTGCTTAGGGCTACACGTGGGCCTTTCTCCTTTTGTGTGGCTTTTGCACAGCTAATGGGCATGGAGATGACCCTTGCCAAAGCCCCCCAAGGTCCCATTACTCGTAGATTTGAGGAACGCAGATGGCTTCAAGGGATGTGAAAGAGTAGACAGCAGACACAGGAGGGAGCGTTTCAGGAGAGGAGCCCACAGTGAGCCCTTGGGACTGAATGGCCCAGCCTGGGGGTGTGTCGCGGAGGCCACGTGCTGCAAACCACCTGGGTTTTGCTCCTCTCTAAAGTGTCTCAGGGACAGGAGGCTGCCCCATGACAGCCACCAATGCCTGATGGCCAGAGCAGGCCAGGGAACCCTGGGAATCCCAATACTGGGGCACAGTTCTCAAGGCCTCAGCGGCCTCTTCACATGTACTTGGCACAGGAGGCAAGAAGACAGCGCGTCTCCAAGCCACCCCTTGGGCACTGCACTCACGTTCTCTGAGGGCAACGGCGGAAAAGGGGGCAGTGCAGGAATGTGGGGGGCATGGGGAACCGAGGCCAGGAGAGGGTGGCCTTGCCCGGAAGGACGAGGGCTGCAAAGGTGTTTTCTGGAGGGAAACGTGGAGTAAGGAGGAAGCCTGGAATTTTAGCATCTTCCCAGCGCACACGGCGGCTTTATTGGTGTGCCAGGGATGTCTCTAGTCTGAATAAAAAGGGATGCTTTCTGGCTCACCCTGTGCCAGGATAGAGGGAAGCGTGTTCTGAGCCAGGCATGGGGCCCCATCTGCTCCCTGGCAGCCCCCAGCCGCGGCGTCCGCCTTCCCTGGAGCCCGTCCCCAGCCGCTCACCTCAGGTGCAGCTCCAGCTGCGTGTAGAGGAAGTGCAGGAACGCCCGCCGGGCCACGACCTCCGCGTGGCAGTCATTCACCACCAGCCCCTGGTCACTGAGGTGCTCGCCGCTGATGCACTTGGTCCCCGAGGACAGGGCCACGACCTGCGCCTGCCGAGCATCCAGGCCTGGGGACACAGATAGCATCAGAGCAGCGTGGCCCACGGCCCCCGTCTCCCTCCTCCTCGGTCTTTTCAGGGTCTCACAACAGCGGTTTCCCTGGGTTAGGAAACCTTGGAAACACTGCGTTTTGAGAGCTGGGAAGCGAGGCTTCTGTGTGCTCCAGGCTGTCACGGGTGACCGCCCGCCTGAGGGATTCCCATCTACTTCATGGTGGCCTGAGACAGCGCTCAGAGTGCCTCTGCTATCCTTAAGGTTGCTGAAATGCTCCTTAGGCACCATAGGAGCAGAGTTTTGAGGTCAAACTTACTACCAGGACAGTTTTCTCCACCTGAGTCCCAGGTCCCCTGTGAGTGGGAGCAGTGCTAGCTGCGGCCTGGGCTTCCTGCCCAACCTCTAACCACCTTTGTGCTTTCTCCTGTCCTCCAACGGGATCAGGGCAGGACAGGAGCTGATGAACCCTTCACCCTAACACAGAAACACAGGACAGGAGCTGATGAACCTGTCATACTAACACAGAAAGGAGGCTGGATGTGTCATTTTAACCATAGTCAAAGGAACCCCATCCACAAAAATGATACTCTCTTCAGGGACTGAAAACAAACAACAAAGAAACCTCAAAAACAACCCCCAACGTAATGTCCTTAAAGTATAATATTCATCACTTTGTTTAAGGAGGAGAAGCTGGAAGACACAAGCCAATGTTTGCTGTGCTCTAACAGGTCTGTGTGGATGTGTATTTTCTCTGCACTTAGATGGTGAATTCCTTGAGGACACGAGTCAGAATTTCCACCAAATACTCCAAGCAAGGGCTCCCTAGGGAGTCCGTGTCATTAGACGGGTCAGTGTTGCCGATCCAATAACAAATCCATCATCCAGGCCCTTCGGCTGGAGGTGGCAGGAATGTTGCGGGTGCCCAGGAGCCTTGGGATGTGACAGCCACTGGCTGGGCCCGGATCGCAGGCCAAGGGAGGGCAGCACGGAGACGCGTTAGCCGCTGACCGCGGCCACGTCCACAGAGTTACCTGTAAATACACGTCCGGACCATTTCTTGGAAGAGGTGACACACAAATTAATGTCACGCCAGAAGCAGGCCTCCCTCCCATCTTAAATAAAATCGACTAATTAATGTCACGCCAGAAGCAGGCTTCCCTCCCATCTTAAATAAAAACAGTGCTGGCTGGTCATGAGCGCTTCTCGCTTCTCACACACTTGTTCCTCTGATGTGACTTTTTCTCCCCTGAGAACTTAGTTCTTGAGCCCTGAGGGCATCTGCCCTCTCTGGGCCTCACCGTGGGATCTTTCTTCGTGAGATAAAAGGGTGGTGTCAGCAGCTACCAGTGACAGCCAGGGAGAATTCGGGGCCGGGAGGGACCGAGCACTGGGGAAGTAACCTGCAGAGGCCCAGCAGCATCCTTGCCCCCATGGCTCTGCAGCTGGGGTCTGTCTGTCCAGCCTCCTTCCTTCCAGGCAAAGCGGTCTAGCACAGCCCCCGCCTCCTGCCCATGTCCACTGCTCTCTCCGCTCATCCCAGCTTCTCCCAGCAGCCCCCGTTTCTGTGCCCGAAGAGAACTCCATGGTCCTGGTCCTGTTGTCTACCCACTGCCCCCTCCCTGGTGGGACGGGACTGCTCCTGAGCTCAGGAAGTGACCAGACTTCCCCACGCCGCTTTAATCAGAACAGGACACGACCAGCCGCCCTGAGGTTCCTCCCCCAGGAAAGCTCGTGAGCAGCTGCCGGGTTCCAGGTCCAGGCCTCCTCCTCTCTCAGCCATCCTGGGTGCGGGGGCTGCCCCCTAGCGGGGGTCCCAGAAGTTGACGAGCAGATGGGACCAGGATCTAAGGCTACAGGGAGCTGGGGTGGGCAGCTGCTACTGACTCTGCCAGGGGTGGGAGCCACCATCTCACTCAGGCCGTCAGTGACATGTGGACTGTTGAGAAATGGTTCACAAGGATGACATCGTGATGCAGAAACCACCCCTCAGGTTCCAGCTTCGTTAAAGCTGGTATTTAGAGAAATGGGAAACACATTGATAACGATTCCTAACCAGTTTCAGTGTTCACGACCGGTGCGCATGCAGTCTCTGGTGGAAACGGACAGCTCTTCAGGAATAGGTGCTGTGGCCTGTGAGGCCCCGGCCTGCTCCTTCTCTTTGGATTCCGTGGAAATTGGAGCTGTAGAAAAAAGCAACTGCTTTCCCTTTACCCCTCATTGATTCCCAGCTCCGTTTGGCTCCAGACTCTGCCACACTCAGCACAATTACGTGGCCCAAGAAGTGTTTGCATATTCAGTTTTCATGATTCTCACCCCCACCGCCAGCACCACGTTCCCAACACAGGAGACGCGAAGCCTGGACCGAGGGAGATGACGCGGTCAGAAACGGCTGCAGCATGAGATGTCGTATGAGAAATGTCGCGGAAGTGCTGTACATGGAATGTCACCAGCATGACAGTGAGGGAGGAAAAGGGAGAGACGGACTCACACCCAGGGAGCTTCTGCACAGGTGGCAGGAGGAGGCGTCCTAGGCAGAGTGGGCATGGTGGTCAGAGGCACGGATAGGAAAGGGCACAGGCATATTCTGCATAATCTGCGTATTCTACGGGCCGTTGGAGCCCGTAGGAGATGTGTGTGGGAAAGTGGCGAAGCTTCAAAGGTGGGTGGAAATCAGTCACAGACGCCTTGAGTACCACCCTGAAGATCTAGCTCTTCACCAATAGACAATGGGAGCTGTGAAAGGGTTTTCCGGAAGGACAGCAGTACTGTTGCCCATGAGTGAGTGCTGGGTTGCACAGGAGGAGAGAAGGGGCCAGGACACTGGGTGGGAGGCTGGGGCTGGACATGGTGCATGAGGACTTAGGAAGCACCCTCAGGAGTGGATTGGTGGGAGGGACCCAGAGAGCACAGCAAGGACCGAATCCACAGGATTTGGGAAATTTACACAGAAGATGAGGGAGAGGAAGAAGCCAGAAAATGTGCTTGAGTACCACACATTACAAATGAGAAATAGGAAGATTTTTATTTATTTACTTATTTTTTGTTTTTTCTTTTTCTTTTTTATTATACTTTAAGTTTTAGGGTGCACATGTGCACAACGTGCAGGTTAGTTACATATGTATACATGTGCCATGTTGGTGTGCTGCACCTGTTAACTTGTCATTTAACATTAGGTATATCTCCTAATGCTATTCCTCCCCCCTCCCCCCACCCCACAACAGGCCCCGGTGTGTGATGTTCCCCTTCCTGTGTGCATGTGTTCTCATTCTTCAATTCCCACCTATGAGTGAGGACATGCGGTGTTTGGTTTTTTGTCCTTGTGATAGTTTGCTGAGAATGATGGTTTCTAGCTTCATCCATGTCCCTACAAAGGACATGAACTCATCCTTTTTTATGGCTGCATAGTATTCCATGGTGTATATGTGCCACATTTTCTGAAACCAGTCTATCACTGATGGACATTTTGGTTGGTTCCAAGTCTTTGCTATCATGAATAGTGCCACAATAAACATATGTGTGCATGTGTCTTTATAGCAGCATGATTTATAATCCCTTGGGTATATACCCAGTAATGGGATGGCTGGATCAAATGGTATTTCTAGTTCTAGATCCCTGAGGAATCACCATACTGACTTCCACAATGGTTGAACTAGTTTACAGTCACACCAACAGGGTAAAAGTGTTCCTATTTCTCCACATCCTCTCCAGCACCTGTTGTTTCCTGACTTTTTAATGATTGCCATTCTAACTGGTGTGAGATGGTATCTCATTGTGGTTTTGATTTGCATTTTTCTGATGGCCAGTGATGATGAGCATTTTTTCATGTGTCTTTTGGCTGCATAAATGTCTTCTTTTGAGAAGTGTCTGTTCATATCCTTCACCCACTTTTTCATGGGGTTGTTTGATTTTTCTTGTAAATTTGTTTGAGTTCATTGTAGATTCTGGATATTAGCCCTTTGTCAGATGAGTAGATTGCAAACATTTTCTCCCATTCTGTAGGTTGCCTGTTCACTCTGATGGTAGTTTCTTTTGCTGTGCAGAAGCTCTTTAGTTTAGTTAGATCCCATTTGTCAATTTTGTCTTTTGTTGCCATTGCTGTTGGTGTTTTGGACATGAAGTCCTTGCCCATGCCTATGTCCTGAATGGTGATGCCCAGGTTTTCTTCTAGGGTTTTTATGGTTTTAGGTCTAACGTTTAAGTCTTTAATCCATCTTGAATTGATTTTTGTATAAGGTGTAAGGAAGGGATCCAGTTTCAGCTTTCTACATATGGCTAGCCAGTTTTCCCAGCACCATTTATTAAATAGGGAATCCTTTCCCCATTGCTTGTTTTTCTCAGGTTTGTCAAAGATCAGATAGTTGTAGATATGCGGCGTTATTTCTGAGGGCTCTGTTCTGTTCCATTGATCTATATCTCTGTTTTGGTACCAGTACCATGCTGTTTTGGTTACTGTAGCCTTGTAATATAGTTTGAAGTCAGGTAGTGTGATGCCTCCAGCCTTGTTCTTTTGGCTTAGGATTGACTTGGTGATGCGGGCTCTTTTTTGGTTCCATATGAACTTTAGTTTTTTCCAGTTCTGTGAAGAAAGTCATTGGTAGCTTGATGGGGATGGCATTGAATCTATAAATTACCTTGGGCAGTATGGCCATTTTCACGATATTGATTCTTCCCACCCATGAGCATGGAATGTTCTTCCATTTGTTTGTATCCTCCTTTATTTCATTGAGCAGTGGTTTGTAGTTCTCCTTGAAGAGGTCCTTCACATCCCTTGTAAGTTGGATTCCTAGGTATTTTATTCTCTTTGAAGCAATTGTGAAAGGGAGTTCACTCATGATTTGGCTGTTTGTCTGTTATTGGTGTATAAGAATGCTTGTGATTTTTGTACATTGATTTTGTATCCTGAGACTTTGCTGAAGTTGCCTGTCAGCTTAAGGAGATTTTGGGCTGAGACAATGGGGTTTTCTAGATATACAATCATGTCATCTGCAAACAGAGACAATTTGACTTTCTCTTTTCCTAATTGAATAACCTTTATTTCCTTCTCCTGCCTGATTGCCCTGGCCAAAACTTCCAACACTATGTTGAATAGGAGTGGTGAGAGAGGGCATCCCTGTCTTGTGCCAGTTTTCAAAGGGAATGCTTCCAGTTTTTGCCCATTCAGTATGATATTGGCTGTGGGTTTGTCATAGATAGCTCTTATTATTTTGAGATACGTCCCATTAATGAAGAATGGCCAAATTTGGGGCTGACCGATTTAATTTGGGGGAAAGGAGAGGGCGGGCGTCATCATCTCTCCCCTCGGTGCCATGAGGGTGATGAGGCATCAGGCAGCATAGTGAGGTGGAGAACAGAGCTCAGTAGCAGTTGAAGACTGCGAGCAAAAACGTGTCAAAAACAGAAACGGCACCAACCAGCATTCAGATAAACACGCTTTTCTTAACACCCCCATCACAGGGGACAGCGCGAGGGTGCTGCCACCATGGCGGGACCACAGGCAGGTCTAGGGCCCTCATACCTATGGGGAGAAATGGGGTCCTTGGTTTATGGGCATCACCCTCCAGGTATAAACCAGTGGTATTTGGGGCTGTGTCAACCCTGCACAGAGGTGTCTAACATTCTCCTTTTTCGGTGCTCTGGTTCCCCACATGGAGATCCTTGATTGCTGGGATGGGGGTGAGGCCATGCCAAGCCGTATGGACACCAAAAATGCTCTGCACTCAATGAGCAATGCTTTGTGTAAAAATGTGCCCAAAGCCAGGCCGCCTTGCAGCAGAGGCTGGGTCGGGGATGCTCCAGTAGGGGCTTATTAAGTCAGGAAGACAGGATGGGGCAGCAAAGACGCCAGGCGAGGGGAGGCTGTACTGAGGTCCCGTCTCCAGCTGACCAAACAGGAAGCTCTGGAGTGTGAGGCAAAGGTGTGCGACGTGTCAGTCATGAGCTGTGGGCACTCCCAGGCGTGCAGGAGGTGCAGGAAGACTTAGGAAGTCCTCCTGAGGTCCCGTCTCCAGCTGACCAAACAGGAAGCTCTGGAGTGTGAGGCAAGGGCGTGCAACGTGTCAGTCATGAGCTGTGGGCACTCACAGGCGTGCAGGAGGTGCAGGAAGACTTAGGAAGTCCTCCTGAGGTCCCGTCTCCAGCTGACCAAACAGGAAGCTCTGGAGTGTGAGGCAAGGGCGTGCGACGTGTCAGTCATGAGCTGTGGACGTTCCCAGGCGTGTAGGCTTCTGGTGGCTAGGGCCATTCTCAGGAGGAGGCTGCAGCTGTGAGCTGCTCCTGGCCGGTACTCGGAGCCAGGAGAAGATCAGGAAGCCCAGGATGGGGCGGCTGTGGTGCCAACAGCATTTACTCCAATCCTTCCAATGATGCTGTTAAGCCAATAAAATGCAAGTTTGTATAGAAGCATCACTCCATACATAGTGGCTATTGGTGATCTCTTTTCCTATAAATGGCTATTGAGAGTAAAACTACTACTCTGTAAGACAACATGAGAAGTAGTCACAGAAAATATACGAATTTCTATAGAATAAGTGGAAAAGCTGGCCAAACAGCAGGGCTCCTGCACCCCCGCCAAAGCACCAAGCACAGTGAGTTTTGTAGAATTCGACTGAACCTTCAAGTAGCAGATGGTTTCAAGGCAATTGTAAGTGTTCTGGAGCATATAAAGACAAGAGAAGCCTTCGGGTTGTGTGTTATCATGGAATGCCTAAATCATTGCCATACTGACGTAGCCTGCACAACAAAGCAGACAACAGAGGACCCTCAGTTAGACAAAATACTAGCCATCAAGTAGCAGAGGAAAAGAGCACTACAGTACGTCCCTGCAACATGGGCTTATTTCTGAAATGTGATAATCAGTTATATTAAAAAATTAAGGCCAGGCACACAGTGGTTCACACCTGTAATCCCAGCACTTTGGGAGGCTGAGGACAGTGGATTGCTTAAGGCCAGGTGTTTGAGACCAGCCTGGGCAACATAGCCAGACCCCAAGTCTACAAAAAATACAAAAAGTAGCTGGGTGTGGAGGCGTGAGCCTGTAGTCCCGGGTACTTGAGAGACTGAGGTGGGAGGATCACTTGAGCCCTGGAGGCGGAGGTTGGAGTGAGCTGAGATTGCGCCACTGCTCTCCAGCCTGGGTAACAGAGCAAGACCCTGTCTCAAAAAAAAAAAAAAAAAATGGATTTATATGCAACACAAAAATAGGCATAATTACAGACACTGATAAGGCATCTGACAAAATACAACAAATGCTTTTGATAAAACACTGAGTTTTTATCAAAACTCAACTCTGTCAAGTGGAACAGAGGGATTTTTTTCCTGAATGTGATTTTATGCACACACACACACACACACACACATACACACGAGTATCATGCTCTATGGGGAAGCACTCCAGGCATTTTTATGACCATTCAGGAACATCTGCTGCAGCCATTGACGAGCACAACAAGAGAAAGAAATTAGCTCTGTAGTAATTGGAGAGGGGCAGGTAACACAAGCACTGTCTGAACATGTTATGATTCTGTGTCTGGAAACCTCCAGAGAATCCAGTTGACATACTGCTAGAAACAATGAGAGAGCTTAATATGGTGAAAGCGTTCCAAGTTAATATACAGAAGTCAATAACTTTCATAGAGACACACAGCAACTAGAGAGACACTGTAAAGGAAAAATGACTCCATTTATAATGGCAGCAAACGAGATAATAGGAATAAGTTTAACGAGAAATGACCAAGGACTATAGTGAATAAAACTTAAAAATCCTATTGAAGGACACAACAAAATTTAAACAAACAGAAAGACTTGCCACATTTTTGGATAGGGAGGTTTAACATAATGAATCCTCTCTAAATTGATTCATAAATTTAACAGGATTCCCAAAGAAACAGCAATGGTGCTTTGTTTTGGACAAGACACCTGGTTAAAAAGTATAATTTTGTTTTGCTTTGCCATTGCTATGGCTTGGGTATGGTTTATTTGTAGCCAAAACTCCTGTTGAGATTTGGTCCTCAGTGTGGCGGTGTTGGGGGGTGATGGGACCTAGTGGGAGGTGTTTGGGTCATGGGGTGGATTCCTTATGAAGGGCTTGGTGCTGTCCTCAAGGCGGTGAGTTCTTGCTCTGGCAAGATGGATTAGTCTTCAAGGAAATGGGTTCGTTCCTGTGAGAGTTGGCTGTAATGAAGCCACGATGTCCCTTAGTCTTCAAGGAAATGCATTAGTTCCCATGAGCGTGGGCTGTAATGAAGCCATGATGCCCCTCTGGTTTTCTCTTTACAAGTGTCTGCTTCCCCCTTGACCTTCTCCATCATGTTATGATGCAGAAAAAAAGCTCTCACCAGAATCCACTGCCATACCCTTAAACTTCCCAGCCTGCAGAAGCATGAGCTAGATAAACCACTATTTTTTATAAAGTACCCAGTCTCATGTATTCTGTTATAGCAACACAAAATGAACTAAGATAGTTATTTGTTTTTAACTGGGCAAGCTGATTCTAAAAGGAAACCCAGAAAATTCTGAAAAAGAAGGCTAATGCTGGAGACAAGCCCTAGTGTACATCAAGCAGGTTATAGAGGCTCCATGCCAGGTCACTGTGGGGATGGGGTGTGAAGTGAAACAGGTGGAACAAAGTGGGGAGTCCAGAAATTGACCCAACACGTGCAGGAATTTAGTATAGGACAAAGGTAATCACATCTCAAACCACTGAGGCAAAGAGAGACTATCCAATTAATGGTATCTAACAACTGCATAGTCATCTGAGAAATAAAATTGCATCTTTATCTGACACCATGTACCAGAGTAAATTCCAAATTGATCAATGTTTAGATGTAAGAAATGAAGAACTGTATTTGAATGTTTACAGCATCTTTACCCATAATTGCCAAAACTTGGAAACAAGCAAGATATCTTTCAGCAGGTGAATGGATAAATCATGGTACATTCAGACAATGGAATATTACTCAGCACTAAAAATAAATCAGTTATCAAGCCATGAAAAGACATGGAGGAAAGTTAAATAAAAGTTAAGTAAAAGAAGCTGATCTGAAAAGTCTACATATTATATGATTTCAACTACAGGGCATTCTGGAAAAGGCAAAACTATGGAGATATGTAAAAAGGTCAGTGGTTGCCAGGGGATGAGGCGGGGAAGGGATGAATAGATGGAGAACAGAGGATTTTTAGGGCAGTGAAACTACTCTGTTTGATGGTACAATGGTGGATCCATGTCATTATACATTTGTCCAAACCCATAGAATGTCCAACACCGGGAGCGAACCCTAACACAAAGAATGGTTTTTGGGTGATTAAAGAAATAAAGATGCATATGTCATAAATAAAATAAGGGATAATGTATAAACTTGGTGGGTGCTATGGTTTAAATGTGGTGTTTTCTCCAAAATTTATATTGAAACTTAATCCTCATTGTGGTGGTATTAAAAGGTGGGGCCTTTAGGAGGTGATTAGGGGATGAGGGCTCCACCTTCATGAATGGATTAATACCCCTATAAAAGAGACTTCAGACAGAGTCCAGCCCTCTTATGCCATCCATCCCATCTGCCATGTGAGGATACAGTGTTCCTCCCCTCCAAACGATGTAGCAACAAGGCACCATCCTGGAGGCAGAGTGCAGCCCTCTCGACACCAAGCCTGCTGACGTCTGGATTGTGGACTTCCCAGCCCCCAGAACTGTGAGCAATGAACTTCTGTTGTTTATAAATGGCTCAGTCTGAGGTACTTTGTTGCAGCAGCACAAATGGATGCAGACACAGGGCTTCTCCCCAGCACATTACCCATCTCTAGACAATGTCTGGGAATGGGCTTTTATTATTTACTTGGAACTAAGTCATTCTCAGCCTGTTCCAATGTTTTAAAGGTAAATTTCTTATACTGTATCTGGTTTTGGAGGAAAAGGATTACCAAATTTCTAAGAAGAAAACTGAAAGTAAAATATACCAAATAGCATCAAAGAAATACATTTCAAAATTATAGAAGATATAGAGAGAAAGGAATAATTTTTACTCCACATGTAGACTGCCCCAAGGGTGTCATGTGTAATTAACTCTGCCTCCCTATTTCCTAGAACTGTGCCCACTGAATTTAATGACTCAACAACAGGGTTTCCACAGCTTGCCTTGAGAAAGACTCTTCCACAGTTTATCAGTGCTCAGTGTTAGGAAACCTTCTTCAGTGTTCAGCCTAACTGATCTTCTGTACAATTTCAGTCCACTTCCCAGACTTCATCTTTAAAGCTCCCAGTCTCCTTGTGGTTGGTATTCTCTGAATACTCGCAGTGAATATCATGATCGGCCTGCAATCCCACATCTAGTCATTATTTGGTCAAAGTCTATGTTTTATTTTCAATCTTTTCCTGCAAGCCAATTTTTTTTTTTTTAAATCTTCTGGTGTTTCTGCTTCCATTCTCTATATTTCCTCTAATTAGTTCGAAATCAGGTAGATTTTAAAATGTCTGGCTTGGGGACATCTTGTCTGTTGGGGACATGATTGGACTGAGACTGAAAGGAAACAGCTTTGCTTTTGACAGGGGAGATTTTTCTTCCACTAGGGTCTTGATTTATGGCTTTCCTCAGGAATCAGAAGACACCAGTGTCTCCTGGGCTTTTATTCTCTAAACATTTCAAATGCATTGATTTTGGAAGGAAAACAAGTTATGTGTAAATGTTTTGTGCTCTCCTCTATGAATGACAATACATCTGGGGAATATCAGATAACAAAGCACTGTAGTCAGAGTTTAACAGGCTCTAGGGCACAGGTAGCCCTGTTTCTGCTGCTTACTTGAGGCAAGAATTTAATTGTGTTCAGTTATCTTGTTTGGAAAAAGTTTTTAAAGATTAAAGAAAATAATGCGAAGTTCTTAACATGTGCCTGATACACAGCAAAAATGCCGCCATCTTTAGCTATTATGATACATATATTTCTGTTCTCTTGTAATCATATTTGTTTTTCCATCTGCAACCAGGATGTTTCTGTGACTTCCCTTGCTAGAATAACACACAAAAAACCATGTGTTCCATTATTAACTTCTACTGACTATGAAGCACATGTTCTTGCAATGAGAACAAGAGGGCTGGTGTGGGAAAGCTTAAAGACAAGACACGTTCAAGAACACCTTTCAACTAAATCTGACCATGGCATTGCACCATGGGCCAAATAACAATTCCAGGATGAGCACTCGCTTGCTTTAAAGT
Source organism: Homo sapiens (assembly GCF_000001405.40). Classification (NCBI taxonomy): domain Eukaryota; kingdom Metazoa; phylum Chordata; class Mammalia; order Primates; family Hominidae; genus Homo; species Homo sapiens. The sequence goes on from NC_000010.11 coordinate 1,253,487, forward strand.
ATCAAGGGCATATTTTAATGTATTTCCATTTGTTTATCCATCCATTCATTCAGTGGGCATTAAACACCTACCTTATTCAAGGGAAAGAGGATAAAAAACTGTGCAGTCTCAAAGCTCCTTTCACAGCACATGCTCACAGGCAGGGAGAAGGCAGCATGGCAGGAGAGCAGAAACTGTCTGTGGTTGGGCTACACCAGCTGTAGGGACACCTTCTCAGAGGATGGGGCAACCATGGACATCAAAGCCAGTGTTAAGAGAGGGAGAAAGAAGAGACCTGTGTCCTGGACTAGAAGGTGTGTAACCACTGGCCACGTAAAGGAGGAAGAGTAGCTGAAGACTGGGAGCAGCCTGCATGAAAACAAGGAGCTCTGTGGTGAGGATGTGGTGGCATCTGTGGTTAGGATGCGGTGGGCTCTGTGGGTAAAATGTGGGATCTGGTTAAGATGCGATGGGCTCTGGGTTAGGATACGGTGGGTTCTGTGTTTAGGATGAGGTGGGCTCTGTGGTTAGGTTAGAATACGGTGGGCTATGGTTAGGATGCAGAGGGCTCGGTGGTTAGGGTGAGGTCGGCTCTGTGGTTAGGATGTGGTTAGGATGCCGCGGTCTCTGGTTAGGATGCAGTTGACTCTGGTTAGGATGCAGTGGATTCCGTGGTTAGAATGCAGTGGGCTCTGTGGTTAGGACATGGTGGGCTCTGTGGTTAGGATGTGGTGGGCTCTGTGGTTAGGATGTGGAGGGCTCTGTGTGGTTACTGGTGTAGAACTCCAGTGCCTGTGAGGCAGTAGTAGTTTCTGGAGGGCCTCCTGTTGTATGGGTGACATCACCAGAACCGTCTACCTTCTTCCCAGGTACTCCTGAGTGGAGATGATGGGTAGAAGCCTTGCTCACCATGTTGTCTTCACCAGAACTGGGAGAATTGCTCTCTGCATAAAAGATGTCAAGCAAGTTTTGGCCATTCTTTCTTATACTTGTGTGATCAGAGGAATCTTTTGGTCACTGTTGAAATCACAGATGTGGCTCCAGTCTCCTACAAATCGAGAACCCCAAAACTATTGAATGAGCATCTCCTTGTGAGGTTCCTGAAAATCTGTTTTTAGGCAATGTTTTCAGGTTATTCTTATGGTCAGGTGAATTTGGGGAGCAGAAGTATGTGAAAAAAAGCAGATGCAGAATATTCACTTTTTCACCTGGCTGTGTGATGTCATTGGATGCAGTTTGGGAATAGGTGCTCTTCACTGAGGCAGATTCTTTGGTTTGGCAATTTGAAAGAGAAACCATTGAATCAAGGGGCAGTTTCTCTTGAGCGTTGCACACATATGGTGCTCAATAGATTGTAGGCATCTACAAAGAAAACCCACTCTGTGGGCATCCACAGATGCCATGGTCCCCATTTGCTGTACCTGAGCTTCAAAGAATGGTGGGCAACTGATTAGTGAATCCCAAATGCTGACTCTGTCCAACTGTGTGAACACGCTGTGAAAGCCAGGGTTTCTCAGCCTCAGCACTTAGTTGTCAGGATAAGCACAGTAATCACATACTCATTAATTTCCTTATAAAATGCTCCCAGAGGACATGCCACCCTCACTTTCAGGTGCTGAGACTGCCAGTCATGCCGGGGCTCAGCCCCAGTGAGGGAGCAAGCGGGGCCAATGCTCTGAGCTCCTCATGGGGCCAAAACATGAGGGAGTGCTTGGATCCAGGAATGTCAGAAATGAATAACTCTGCTGTTTTAACACTCATTCTTTTTCCTTCCAAAATGGCTGGGGCTTGCTTTGTCAACACAGATTCACATGTTGCTCTGACAGGAAATGAGGCAATCACTGGCCCTGGGTGCCACGTCACGTAGCTTGTCCTCGTCAGTGCAGCTGACGCTCACCAAGCCTTCTGTGCCAGGCACATGTGAGCGCTGGGTCTACACACTAATCAAACATGCTGCTCACTCCACATAACATACAACACGACAAAGGCATTGAGAGAGCCCAGAAACCATGCCAGGCTGACGCTGGCTGCTGTCCACCTGTGATGGCCTCGGGCACTGTGGCCCCCACTACAACCCAAAGAGGGTCAGGCCATGGACAGGGATGTGACCAGATGTCAGCTGGTCAACGCTCTTTGCTGTTCCCCATCAGGGAATGGAACTTCTCCAAACCTGATGGGCTGTCGGTGAGGTTAGAGGTAAGAGGGAGGAAACTGAGGAGATGCCAGTGACCTTTCTGTGGGCCTTGGGCAGGGAGCTGGCTGCATGGTTCGCTAGACAGTGTGACCTCATGAGAGTGGAGGGGATCCCTCCCAAACAGGTCACACGTGTGTCTGTGACTCATGGTGGGTCAAACACACTATAGCCCCATCAGCGGGCAGGACAAGTTGGGCCCTGACACAGGCAGCATCCAGGCAGGCAAGCACATTGACAACCACATGTCAGCCCTGGGAGCTAACGGTGTTTACATGACAGTGGCACATCTGGCACATTCTCCTACTGAATTAACTTGACTTTTCCAAAGTATACTTGCGGGGCATGAGAATGGACAGGCAGATGCAGCAGTATTTGCTGCTGCACAGACCTCTCCACACTCGTCCCAGCACAGTGCTCAACTTGGAGTATTGCCCAGTATTACAGCTCAGTAACGAAGAGGGACTTGAAGCTCCAGGAGATGTGAGCAGGCACTGTGGATGCCTGCACCAGTGTTGGTTTTTGAACATCCAGCTCCAAGCTGTCCTCCCTCACTGGCTCTGCTGTGGAGACTGAGATGCAAAACTCTCCCTTTCCAACTCTCCCCGCTACTTCCTGCACAGCTGAGTGGCCAGCAGCAAAATCCTGACCAAAAGAAGTCTGTGGGATGGAACATGTCCTCCTCCTGCCCTGATGGGGTCTGGGAGCATGACCTGCAGCAGCGGGTGGGATGAGGAGAGGTCAGGGGGCCACACACCCTGAAACCACAGGGGCCTGAATGGCGCCTGCCACCACTGTCTGGCATGTGGGCCACTGTTGGTTACTGAGACAATAAAAAGGTGCGTGTTTGCAACACTGCTAATCAGCTATCTCACTTCCTGCAGCCAGTGGCATTCTGAGTGCATAAAACCTCAAAATACATAGAATTTGGGGTAGGATACCACATATATCAAAAGATGGGGCCAGGCGAGCTTATGAGAAGGTTATTAGTTACGATCCTCAACATCAACACTGCAAGGGTTTCACTGGATATAAATATGGTAATTACACATTTAGTAAATATATTTAATGCCCTGTTCCTACCCCCAAGAAAGAGGTAGAATGACAACAAACGCTTTGCAATTAATAGATTGAAAAGTCTATTAAAAGTCTATTTATCTCCTCATTTGCATTGGGCTGAGCAAGCTCTTCACCCCATATCAAAGGAACAAATAGGAAACACCTGGTATGATCGATGAACGGTCTCTTCTCCTACCGAGGATGGCTGACAAGGTCTCCTCACTGGCACTAAAACCAGAAATAATGAGAGCATGAAGCCCGCGCTCATAAATAATTCATGGACTAAATATTGTAAGTGACAGTGCTTTCTTCATTTTTAAGCAACCACTTGGTATGCTTTTGTTCTGTTTTTAAGAAGATCATATTTGAATCAGCTCAGAGGCGAGCTGTGTTCAGGCCCTGTGAGCTCCACGCCCTCTCTGCTGACCTCTAATACTTTCTATTCTTTTCTTGACTGAGGTGTGAGTTCCCCTGGGCTCAAATCTGGCTGGTTAGTTAGAGCACCCATTCTTGGGTAATGACCCAACCACACAGGGAGGCACTGACCTAAGTTGGGGAGGCCGCCCTGAACCCACTGTCGATTGTAGCTTCATACTCTCCTCCCCTTCTCTGCCCTCCACTGAGCTTGTCATGGACTGGCTCCTCCCTGAGCCACCTGTTGCCAGGATGGCCCCAAAGCTGAGACTGCTTTCCTCCATCGGGAGCTCCTCCTCAGCCCGAGACCCCACTTCCCTTCCTCTTCAGGGTCAGCACTCAGGGATCAGATGCCCATCCCCTCTCTAACCTGGGAGCCTGCCTCCATGCACACCTCTTCCTGTCATCAGTGTGATGAAGCTGCTGCAGGGGCTGGGTCCAGAGCGCTGTGCATGAGGACTTCAAAAGTCCAACGGAGCAGCAGAAGGAGACACAGACACACTGTGCAGTGAGGGTGTGTGGGAAAGAGAGGTGCGGAGAGAGGAAAGTTTGGTTATAACAGCATAGGGCAGGAAGCCAGGAGACCCTGTGTTTCTTGGTGTGAATTACCCCCAGGTTCCAACGTGGATGTGTCTGGAACAGCACCAAAGGTTCCTCCAGTGTTTCCGCAGGGAAGTCCTTTCAATATCACCTAATGCAGATGGACACATCTTGAAAATTTAAATATGGGGTCTACTGGGGAAGCAGGGAGTGTAAACCATGACCCCAGGTGCACACATTTGAAAGTCCACACTTACTTCAGAGGGTTACAGCTTCACTCAGTTTCACATTTGTTCACTAATTAGCCTGAATCCTTTAGAATATCTTTATTATATCTCCATCCACACAGTGGGGACCCTGTCAACGATGATTAACTCCTGCTCACAGATAATGCACAGTCATTTCCTGAAGCTTCTTTCTTCCTTCTCCTTCCCTTTCCTAGCTCTCTCTTTTTCTCTTTCTCTCTCCCTCCCTCCCTAACTCTTTTTCTTTCTTGCCCTCTTTCTTAAGTGTGCTTAACCATAGCATGGTTAAGGTAAATATAAGAATATTTTAGCTTGTTAGGAAGAAACTGCATCAACTAATGAGCAAAATAACCAGCTAACATCATAATGACAGGATCAAATTCACACATAACAATACTAACCTTAAATGTAAATGGGCTAAATGCTCCAATTAAAAGGCACAGACTGGCAAATTGGAAAAAGAGTCAAGACCCATCAGTGTGCTGTATTCAGGAAACCCATCTCAGCTGCAGAGACACACATAGGCTCAAAGGGATGGAGGAAGATCTACCAAGCAAATGGCAAACAAAGGCAGGGGTTGCAATCCTAGTCTCTAATAAAACAGTCTTTAAACCAACAAAGATCAAAAGAGACAAAGAAGGCCATTACATAATGGTAAAGGGATCAATTCAACAAGAAGAACTAACTATTCTAAATATATATGCATCCAATACAGGAGCACCCAGATTCATAAAGCAAATCCTTAGTGACCTACAAAGAGACTTAGACTCCCCACAATAATAATGGGAGACTTTAACACCCCACTGTCAACATTAGACAGATCAACGAGACATAAAGTTAACAAGGATATCCAGGAATTGAACTCAGCTCTGCACCAAGCAGACCTAATAGACATCTACAGAAGTCTCCACCCCAAATCAACAGAATATACATTGTTTTCAGCATCACACCACACCTATTCCAAAATTGACCACATAGTTGGAAGTAAAGCACTCCTCAGCAAATGTAAAAGAACAGAAATTATAACAAACTGTCTCTGAGACCACAGTGCAATCAAACTGGAACTCAGGATTAAGAAACTCAGTCAAAACTGCTCAACTACATGGAAACTGAACAACCTGCTCCTGAATGACTACTGGGTAAATAACGAAATGAAGGCAGAAATAAAGATGTTCTTTGAAACCAAGGAGAACAAAGACACAACATACCAGAATCTCTGGGACACATTCAAAGCAGTGTGTAGAGGGAAATTTATAGTGCTAAATGCCCACAAGAGAAAGCAGGAAAGATCTGAAATTGGCACCCTAACATCACAGTGAAAAGAACTAGACAAGCAAGAGCAAACACATTCAAAAGCTAGCAGAAGGCAAGAAATAACTAAGATCAGAGCAGAACTGAAGGAAATAGAGACACAAAAAACCTTCAAAAAATTAATGAATCCAGGAGCTGGTTTTTTGAAAAGATCAACAAAATTGATAGACCTCTAGCAAGACTAATAAAGAAGAAAAGAGAGAAGAATCAAATAGATGCAATAAAAAATGATAAAGGGGATATCACCACCAGTCCCACAGAAATACAAACTACCATTAGAGAATACTATAAACACTTCTACGCAAATAAACTAGAAAATCTAGAAGAAATGGATAAATTCCTCGACACATACACTCTCCCAAGACTAAACCAAGGAAGAAGTTGAATCTCTGAATAGACCAATAACAGGCTGTGAAATTGAGGCAATAATTAATAGCTTACCAACCAAAAAAAGTCCAGGACCAGATGGATTCACAGCCGAATTCTACCAGAGGTACAAGGAGGAACTGGTACCATTCCTTCTGAAACTATTCCAATCAATAGAAAAAGAGGGACTCCTCCCTAACTCATTTTAGGAGGCCAGCATCATCCTGATACCAAAGCCTGGCAGAGACACAACAAAAAAAGAGAATTTTAGACCAATATCCTTGATGAGCATTGATGCAAAAATCCTCAATAAAATATGGGCAAACCGAATCCAGCAACACATCAAAAAGCTCATCCACCATGATCAAGTGGGCTTCATCCCTGGGATGCAAGGCTGGTTCAACATACGAAAATCAATAAATGTAATCCAGCATATAAACAGAACCAAAGGCAAAAACCACATGATTATCTCAATAGATGCAGAAAAGGCCTTTGACAAAATTAAACAACCCTTCATGCTAAAAAAACCTCAATAAATTAGTTATTGATGGGACGTATCTGAAAATAATAAGAGCTATCTATGACAAACCCACAGCCAATATCATACTGAATGGACAAAAACTGGAAGCATTCCCTTTGAAAACTGGCACAAGACAGGGATGCCCTCTCTCACCACTCCTATTCAACATAGTGTTGGAAGTTTTGGCCAGGGCAATCAGGCAGGAGAAGGAAATAAAGGGCATTCAGTTAGGAAAAGAGGAAGTCAAATTGTCCCTGTTTGCAGACGACATGATTGTATATCTAGAAAACCCCATTGTCTCAGCCCAAAATCTCCTTAAGCTGATAAGCAACTTCAGCAAAGTCTCAGGATATAAAATCAATGTACAAAAATCACAAGCATTCTTATACACCAATAACAGACGAACAGAGAGCCAAATCATGAGTGAACTCCCATTCACAATTGCTTCAAAGACAATAAAATACCTAGGAATCCAACTTATAAGGGATGTGAAGGACCTCTTCAAGGAGAAATACAAACCACTGATCAAGGAAATAAAAGAGGATACAAACAAATGGAAGAACATTCCATGCTCATGGGTAGGAAGAATCAATATTGTGAAAATGGCCATACTGCCCAAGGTAATTTACAGATTCAATGCCATCCCCATCAAGCTACCAATGACTTTCTTCACAGAATTGGAAAAAACTACTTTAAAGTTCATATGGAACCAAAAAAGAGCCCGCATCACCAAGTCAATCCTAAGCCAAAAGAACAAAGCTGGAGGCATCACACTACCTGACTTCAAACTATATTACAAGGCTACAGTAACCAAAACAGCATGGTACTGGTACCAAAACAGAGATATAGATCAATGGAACAGAACAGAGCCCTCAGAAATAACGCCGCATATCTACAACTATCTGATCTTTGACAAACCTGAGAAAAACAAGCAATGGGGAAAGGATTCCCTATTTAATAAATGGTGCTGGGAAAACTGGCTAGCCATATGTAGAAAGCTGAAACTGGATCCCTTCCTTACACCTTATACAAAAATCAATTCAAGATGGATTAAAGACTTAAACGTTAGACCTAAAACCATAAAAACCCTAGAAGAAAACCTGGGCATCACCATTCAGGACATAGGCATGGGCAAGGACTTCATGTCCAAAACACCAACAGCAATGGCAACAAAAGACAAAATTGACAAATGGGATCTAATTAAACTAAAGAGCTTCTGCACAGCAAAAGAAACTACCATCAGAGTGAACAGGCAACCTACAAAATGGGAGAAAATTTTCGCAACCTACTCATCTGACAAAGGGCTAATACCCAGAATCTACAATGAACTCAAACAAATTTACAAGAAAAAAACAACCCCATAAAAAAGTGGGCAAAGGACATGAACAGACACTTCTCAAAAGAAGACATTTATGCAGCCAAAAGACACATGAAAAAATGCTCATTATCACTGGCCATCAGAGAAATGCAAATCAAAACCACAATGAGATACCATCTCACACCAGGCAATCATTAAAAAGTCAGGAAACAACAGGTGCTGGAGAGGATGTGGAGAAATAGGAACACTTTTACACTGTTGGTGGGACTGTCAACTAGTTCAACCATTGTGGAAGTCAGTGTGGCGATTCCTCAGGGATCTAGAACTAGAAATACCATTTGACCCAGCCATTCCATTACTGGGTATATACCCAAAGGACTATAAATCTTGCTGCTATAAAGACACATGCACACGTATGTTTATTGTGGCATTATTCACAATAGCAAAGACTTGGAACCAAGCCAAATGTCCAACAATGATAGACTGGATTAAGAAAATGTGGCACATATACACCATGGAATACTATGCAGCCATAAAAAATGATGAGTTCATGTCCTTTGTAGGGACATGGATGAAATTGGAAATCATCATTCTCAGTAAACTATCGCAAGAACAAACAACCAAACACCGCATATTCTCACTCATAGGTGGGAATTGAACAATGAGATCCCATGGACACAGGAAGGGGAATATCACACTCTGGGGACTGTGGTGGGGTGGGGGGAGGGGGGAGGGATAGCATTGGGAGATATACCTAATGCTAGATGACGAGTTAGTGGGTGCAGTACACCAGCATGGCACATGTATGCATATGTAACTAACCTGCACAATGTGCACATGTACCCTAAAACTTAAAGTATAATAATAATAATAATAATAATAATAATAATAAAAGAAACCACCATCAGAGTGAACAGGCAGCCTACAGAATGGGAGAAAATTTTTGCAACCCACTCATGTGACAAAGGGCTAATATCCAGAATCTACAATGAACTCAAACAAATTTACAAGAAAAATCAAACAACCCCATGAAAAAGTGGGCGAAGGTATGAACAGACACTTCTCAAAAGAAGACATTTATGCAGCCAAAAAACACACAAAAAAATGCTCATCATCACTGGCTATCAGAGAAATACAAATCAAAACCACAGATACCATCTCACACCAGTTAGAATGGTGATCATTAAAAAGTCAGGAAACAACAGGTGCTGGAGAGGATGTGGAGAAATAGGAACACTTTTACCCTGTTGGTGGGACTGTAAACTAGTTCAACCATTGTGGAAGTCAGTGTGGCGATTCCTCAGGGATCTAGAACTAGAAATACCATTTGACCCAGTCATCCCATTACTGGGTATATACCCAAAGGATTATAAATCATGCTGCTGTAAAGACATATGCACACATATGTTTATTTTGGCACTATTCACAATAGCAAAGACTTGGAACCAAGCCATATGTCCAACAATGATAGACTGGTTTAAGAAAATGTGGCACATGTACACCATGGAATACTATGCAGCCATAAAAAATGATAAGTCTATGTCCTTTGTAGGGACATGGATGAAACTGGAAACCATCATTCTCAGCAAACTATCACAAGGACAAAAAACCAAACACTGCATGTTCTCACTCATAGGTGGGAATTGAACAATGAGATCACATGGACACAGGAAGGGGAACATCACACACCGGGGCCTGTTGTGGGGTGGGGGGAGGGGGGAGGGATAGCATTAGGAGATATACCTAATGCTAAATGATGAGTTACTGGGTGCAGCACACCAACATGGCACATGTATACATATGTAACAAACCTGCACGTTGTGCACATGTACCCTAAAACTTAAAGTATAATAATAGTAATAATAAAGAATATTTTAGCTTGTTGAATAATAGGAGAATGTGGCTTTACACACCCCAAACATTGCCTGGCATGCAGGTAAACACTGGATGCTAGTGTCCTTTATTTTTTCACCAACAAAGTTAGTGTTATGCTTCCAGTAAAAAAAGACTCATAGTCAAAGAGACCAGAATAAAATGAGTTTAGTTGTGTTGCTTTGAGATATAATATGGCGTTGGATTTTCTTTTCCTGGTGAAGCCTTTTGGACAATTAGATTGAAGATAGAATTGAATGCTCAGTTATGAGTTAATAATCAGAAAAGTGAAGAAGTGTTTGAACAGCTTTGATTGGAGTACTAGACCTTGAGAGTGTAGCAAAAATATTTATTTTCTCCTCCATTTCTCATGTATTTCCATCTACCCATTTCCTTACTTGGGATAAATGAAGGCATTTGGTGAGGATTTAACTCACGGCCAGGGCTGCCAGTCCTCTCCTTAGTTAATTCAGCCTTGAGGGTTTTCATCCGCACCCTGTGAATTATTCCAGGCTAAACTATTTAAATGAGCCAGGCTAAACTATTTAAATGTTCGGGTGGAACAAATGTCCAGTCATTGATTTTCTTTTCCTCTCCATTTTGAGGAGGGATGTTTAGTAGAAATGTGTCAGCATTCACACTACGCAAGGGTCAGCACCGGTTTAGTGAAATCTGTCCTGCATTTTATAGTTTAAACCTAACAGTTTAAACCAAAGATTTAAAATCAATTGCCCATCAGCGCTCCTTATTGTACTCAGCCGTCGGCCTCCGTGAATCTTAATGTGCCTGAACAGACCCACAGAGACACAGCATCAGCTTCACATTTCTCGGTATCCACTTAGTAATCATTAAGATCAATTCCTTGAAATACAGATGATAATTCACCATCTTTCATCGCAGCATGAGGTTTCTGTTTAGGGATTTTTGTCCAGTTCATTTGTTTCAGCTTATCTTCCTCATGCCCGACTGGATGCAAATAAAAAGACCTTGCTTTTAATTTTAAGATCAAAGTGACTGCCAGTCATTCAGGGGAGACAACGGAAGGAAAGGTTTTGAAAAATTGGGGGAATAAACTCCTTATACTCCGCTTCTCTTAGGTCCTTGTGAAGATGAACTTACACAGATGCTCTTTGTATGATGGAAAGAGAAGTTTTAACTGTATTTAAACTGTCATGGTTTCTAAAGTGCAAATGGGAAAATCATGTTTGATAACCAGCTTTATCTGGTACAACACAATAACACAATTCTTTATTCAAGCCGAAAGCGTGGCACAGACAGTACGGACACATTTCTTTACCTTATGTGCTCATTTTAGGTTCAAAGCCAAGCATATGCAGCAAAACATAGTCTACATTTCAAAACTTGGAAAACTTATGCTCCATCGTGGAATTAATTGGCACTTTTGTATTTTTCCTAATAAGAGAGGCCGGACCACTTCCCTCAGAAGGGTTTCCTAGTTGTCCTGGGCTGTTTTTACAAAGTTGAACTCTACCAGGCTGTTTTCAAGAAATGTGCATTTTTCCAGGGCAGTTGTAAGTCAGTCCAAGAAAATTGTGGAGCGATAAAGCTGGACCTTAGTTTAAATGGGAAAGAATATTTATAAAAGCCATATTTTCAGAATATGTTTTGTAGGCTAGACTAGCAAAAATTTAAACATGACCCCCTAATGTACTCTAGAAAACTCCTTTTTTCTAGTTATTAATAAACTCGAAAAATAATTTCCCATAAAGAGGTAATGCATGGTCACCACCGGGCCTTGATGCCTGCTTCCAAAAGGAACCTGGAACTGGGAAGGATAAAGGACCATCAGCTCTACATTTCAGCTCTGCCCCGCCCTCAGGGCATCAGGAAAGCCACTTGGCCTCTTCATCTTCGTGTCTGCATTTCCTGAAGTGTTAATAAGAATTCCTGCCTTCCCCACTTATCGGGGTTATGTCAATCAAACTGATTAGTGTATGTAAAAATGCTGTCAAAATTATAAATCTGCATATTAAATGCAAGGCATCACCATCAACAGCCCCTTTAAGAATCATTCGCTCATGAAACACAAGAGTTTCTAAATAAAGCGGTGCCCTGACAGTTTGGCTAGTAAGTATTGTAGGGGTTCAAGAGGATGGGGGAGAACATTTGCTTCTCTTTTTCCAGTGAAACGAGAGGATTCGGGAGGGAACAACGCTGAACTACTGTGTGATGGAGAGAAGGGGTGAGTGGGACCCATGCCCTCCCAGAAGACGCCCTGAGCGGGGGCCCAGGCTCTCCCGGAAGACGGCCTGAGTCAGGTCCACGCTCTCCCGGAAGACGGCCTGAGAGGGGGGCCCAGGCTCTCCCGGAAGACGGCCTGAGCCAGGTCCACGCTCTCCCGGAAGACGGCCTGAGAGGGGGGCCCAGGCTCTCCCGGAAGACGGCCTGAGCCAGGTCCACGCTCCCCCGGAAGACGGCCTGAGAGGGGGGCCCAGGCTCTCCCGGAAGACGGCCTGAGCCAGGTCCACGCTCCCCCGGAAGACGGCCTGAGAGGGGGGCCCAGGGTCCCCCGGAAGACGGCCTGAGCCAGGTCCACGCTCCCCCGGAAGACGGCCTGAGAGGGGGGCCCAGGGTCCCCCGGAAGACGGCCTGAGCCAGGTCCACGCTCCCCCGGAAGACGGCCTGAGAGGGGGGCCCAGACTCTCCCGGAAGACGGCCTGAGTCAGGTCCACGCTCCCCCGGAAGACGGCCTGAGAGGGGGGCCCAGGGTCCCCCGGAAGACGGCCTGAGCCAGGTCCACGCTCCCCCGGAAGACGGCCTGAGAGGGGGCCCAGGCTCTCCCGGAAGACGGCCTGAGCCAGGTCCACGCTCTCCCGGAAGACACGGTCCACGCCCTCTGAGAAGATGGCGTGTGGGTCGGCGCCGAGAAGGAGTGGTGAGAATGAGAACAAAGCTTCCCAGTGGAAGAGAGAGCAGCTGTCTTCGAGGTCAGGCCTGGGAGGGCCCAGCCTCGTGCCTGTAGGTCCGGTGCAACAGCGCATGTGCTCCTGGCATAGGGCTCACTGGATTATTTTAAGTAAATGGCTGTGGTAGTTGGCCAAGCATCCTGCTCTCTGGGGAGAATGCCTGAGGGTGGAAGCATTTGTTCAGCATGAAAGATGGAGTCCCACCCTACAGGGAGGAAAGGACCGCCTGAGAAGGGTCCAGGGCCGGCTGGGACCCCACCTCATTGGCGCTGTGGTGGGGGGTGGGGGGGGGGCCGTGCCCACAAATCCTAAGGAGACCTGAGCTGATGGAAATGGGCCCTGGGCCGCCTTCCCATCTGGGCGGGAGCCTGTGGGAGAAGGACCAGCCGGCCACCACCGCAGAAGACACCAGGCCAACGCCTACAATACCAGTCTAACGTCTCGTTCACAAGTGTGTGTATTCAGACGAGAGCCATCAGCAGGACACGGGAGAAAGACCACGCGAAACAGAAAGCCACTGCCCCTGGCCTGGAGGACACGGGCCAGGGCGTCTCCTCAGAGGAGTTGAGCAGAAGTTACAGCTACAGAACAAGAGGCTCCCTTGAAAAAGGAAGAATGGAGGATAAGGGAAAGATTTAAATAATGAAAATAGGTTGCAAAAATTAGGAGGGAAAGGCAGTTTATGAGCTGTAGGATAAATTTAAGAAATCTCCAAAAACATCGAGTAAAAGAATGAAGAGACAAATTTTAAAAGTAAAAGCAGAAAATTAATAGAGTGTTGCAAATTTAACAAAAATGCGTGTAAATGAAGGAATTCATAAAACAAATGACATAAAACTATACAAATAGCTTAAATATGTCAAGAGAAGTGAATGGCTCACACCTAAACATATTCTTAAATCCAAGTTAAAAAAAAAAAAAAAACCTTTCCCCCTCCCGGGTAGGTGTGGGTGCTGGTCACTGCAGAGAAAATGTGAGGCAGGTCAGAAATATTGGATAAAAGATAATGGAAACATTACTTCAAAATACTGAGGGAAAATAATTGAAAGCTTAGAATTCCCCCCTGGGAATCTATTGAGACGGATGACAAGCAAATCAAGGAATTTTGAGATGTGGGAATATTCACAAAGTTGATCTCCCATCGTTTTAGATGATGCTTCTTGAGGAAGCTCTCTATGAGGGGAGACAAAGCAAGGAGGAAGACAATGATTCCGGAGATGGTGTCCCACTGGAAGAGCAGGACGCCGGGTCTGCAGAGCACGTGCCTCGATGGGCCTGGCCTGGGAGTTCTCTGGGAGAGAGGCAGGTACCCTCTGTGAGATGCTTCCATAGAAGCCTCGTGACTTAGCACGTATGGTAAAGGCACAATCTTCCTCTTTCTTTTTTTTCAATAAGAGAAAAAAGAAGACATTCCAGAAAAAAACACGCACAATATTTCAAAAGCGATATAAGCAAGTCTAGCAACACAAGTGAATCAAACTTAAACACAACACAACTTGGAGCTGGGGGTGGAGGCGGAGCCTCTGCGTGTCCTGACGCCAGGCAGCCAGGCTCCCTTCCCAGCGGAACTGTGCTGGGAGGGTTGAAGGTGGTTCTGCTTGGCTCTGTAGTGGGAATATCTGCAACACTCTCATCAGATAGATGCTGTTCAGCTGTTACAATCACTCAAAAGACAAAGTAGAGAAGACTTAATTATGGGCATAAGAAAGGATATAAATACCAGTGATGATGGTGTAAAGATGTAACACGTATAATTGAGAGAGGCTGGCTAGTGGGGAAGGGGCTGAGGGCTGCCACCCTCAACGCACAGAACAGGGAGTGAAACCACACCCAAATTTGATGCAATAAGAAATAAAGGTTTATCTATAATTGCACATTACAAACATAATAATGGAAAATGAAAAAAGTATCAAATGTTAATAGCATGAGTCAATAGATGTTATCTAGAACTGAAAATCTAGAAATATAGAAGTATGTAGTACTTAGAATCACAAGAAAAAAATTTGAAATGGTTAGAGGTGGCTTCTGAGAGTGAAGGGGAGTGAGGGGTGGAGTGGGAGAATACGGCTTTTCATTCAGAAGTTCTTTAGAATCTTTACCATATGACTGCATTAATTTGATAAAAATAAAAACTTCTGTTCATAAGTATATATTTCTGTGATTATATTTCTCATAATGGCTAAGAAATGGTCTCTGATTCATAAACAGAACTTTCAGGAGCTAATAAATGTGAATGAGTTGGCATCCCATCCACAGGAGGGGCAAATCAAATTGTGTTTTATTTCAAAATAAGTTTAATTTTAAAACATTGTGACATATACAGCAACTAGAACAAGACATATTACTCTGAGAATTTCTTAGGTATTTGCTTGAATAACTGAACTAGAATTAAGATCAAATGGCACATCAACTTTAAGTAAATGAGTATCTAAAAATGTTTGTATTAGTAATTTTGCACATTTCTAATTTTTTAAAATCAGTGTTTGTCTCTTTACAATAGGAAAGTAAATTTAAGCAAGTTATTCTTCAGCATTCAGAAGTCACTAATTAGTGAAGCTCTACCTTATGAAGTCTCATTTTCATGTAGTAAATTTAATTCATATAGATAAATTGCCTACACATAAAGCATTGTATTCACTGGCAACTTAGAAGTATCATTTCCCCACAAGCCTCTAAAACATTACTATTTTCCACATGAAGTTTGACAGTAGCTTCCAAAACTTGCCAGATTTGTTTCCCAGAAAGATGGAAAGATATTGAGTTCCAGCGCTGAGAAATGCTACAAACTTACTTTCCAGGTCATACTGACTTATGCCTCTGGGGCTGGAAGTGCATTGCACAATAAGGAAGCCAGGGTGGCTGGTGCCCCTCCCCTCCCCTTTCTACTCCCTCCCCCTACCCTTCCTCCTTTCCTTTTCATACCAAGACACTAATTTAACCTGAGTTATTCAGAAATCTGTAGCAGAAATCTGTGTAACACTCCACATTTTAAAATTTACCAAAGTTTTGTTTATATGGACCAGCAACCCTGTGTGTATGTAATTCTTTTATAGTTCTTTTATATTGGATTTAAATTGTTCTGTATGAACCATTCCCCACTAGAATATAAGAGCCACAAGGGTAGGCATTTGGTCTCTTGTTCTGCTGATTCCCCAGAACTTTGTATGCCAGGCACTGACTAAATAATTTGTAAATAGTGCCATTACCAATAATTAACTAACACTTACATGGTACTTGCCATGGGCTAGGTAACTTTCTAAGAGCTGGAAATACATGAACACATTTAGCCTTCAAAATAACCTGATCAGGTAGGTGTTGCTGTTATCCCCATTTTAAAGGTGAGAGAACAGAGTCCCAGCGAGGCTCAGTGGCTGGTCATGGGTCGCAGAGCTCTGTGCAGGTGGGGCTGGATTCTGTGCTAGGATGATGCTCTTGGCCTGCCAAACTCACTGCTCCCTCAGTGAGACTGCTGTACCCTGAGTGGGGGCTGTGTCTCTTCCTCACAGCCCCGTGGGCCTACAGAGCAGTGCCCAGTGTATGGCGGTGCCCAATTGATGGCTGCATGCTGGAGGATGAAGGAATGGTCACCTCCAGCAGGGATGAGCTTGGTGGAGGTGAACTCTTAGCCCTCAATTTAGAACATTCCTAATTCCACAAAGAGGCAGGTGTCATCTGTGTCTGAAAGGGGGCCAGTTGCTGGTGGCCAGGGTGGGGCTGGTATATTTATATACTGGATGATGTGTTTATAAAGCAACTTTACCTTTCAAAGAATCTCATATTCTAGATCTTACCCAGCTACATTGTAAGAAAGCAGCTTCATTTTCATTTTACCAGGAGGCCCACATTGGGAAGATCACACAGCCAAGACATGGTGCTGGGTTCCAGTGTTCCCACACCCAGCAAGATTGGAGAGGACCCTGCTGGCCCAGCGTGGCTGAGAACCATGCCAGTCATTTGGTCCTTTATTTTGTAACATAAATATGTTTGTATGTCAGCTCGATGGTCTTTTTCCGCCTTAGATTTTGCCGGCACATGCAGAGCAAGTGTGTGTGTGAAACTTAATCCAAAGGTCAGTTACTATTTCACAGTAATGACTCCCAAGTGTGTGAGAGTGTAGTGAGTGTGACGAGGAGGTCATTACACACTCGTGAAAAACTCTGGAAATGGAAATGGTTGAATTCAAATAACCAGCTGGCTTGTTATTAATGGGTTGGTGGCTCGTTGTTTCCACAGGGCCGATTGATCAAATTTAGCCCTCATTCATCTTCCCCCATCCTGGCTGACTGGAGAGGACGCCTTCTTGGCTCTCAGCATGCCCCTCGCGGCTGGGTCACCCTTGTTTCTCAGAGTGGAATTCCCTCCCTGAGTTTGAGATGGGGAATCTTGGCAGAAAGGAGAGCGTTCGGGGTGGGTTACACCCCAACCAGAGGAACTTAGGACTCTCAGGAGACGTGGGTCCTCCGGAAGGGGCTGGCCAGGCCCCCCAGAGACGGGGGATGCCCAAGCAGAGCTGGGCCCCGGCAGCCTAATCACAGCACCATGGTCAGGATGGCTTTTCCTGCTAATATGCTCTGGCCACTGATCTCTGTATATGCTATAATATTTTGTCTTTCTTTGTCACAGCCTGTTGTGGAAGAGAGAGCCTTTTGGCCTCCAAGATCAGGTAGATGCTAATGCTCCTTTCTTTAGAGATGAAAATGCCCACAGGAAAAGAGGAGGTGGCTACCTTTGGTCATGACGATTCCTGCCAGCGCTTTATGGCGGGCGTGCATGGGCGTGAGGTCCGTCGTCACCTCGCGGAACTTCTGTGTGACCAGCTGGGATATGGAGTCTGCGAATTCCTGAAAGACACAAGCACAGGCCTCCACGTTGGGCTGAGCAGGTGCCGTGGAGGATGATGGGGCACTGTCCTCCCCGTCCTCACAGCCTCATCCCCATGTGGCCACACATGGGCCTGCTCTCCTCCCCTCCTCACAGCCTTGTCACCACGTGACCACACACGGCCTCTCCCTGGCTGTGCCCCCAAAACTCAGAATCATATTGAGTGGCTTATGAGTGGTTAACCCCAGCATTGCTCTCAGCAGAAACCCTGAGCTCTGCCAACCTCCCCATGGAAACAGTGTCTACTTCCTCTCCCTGCCTCTCAGAGCAGTGACTGGAGGAGTCTTTCGGCGGGGAGGGAATTTTTATAGGGATGATGGGCCACCGCAGTCTTCTGAGTATTCCAGAGCCAGTGTCTACACAGCCAGCAGTCTCAGGGTGCTCTTCTGGCAAAATGGCTGGCGCTGTGGCTCTCTCCACAACTTCTTCTCACCTTCCTGCACATGCACACAGATGCACACATTCACATGCAACACACAACACACCTAGGGCACACGTGCACACACGAATATGCACACACATGCACACACACAGACACACACATACACATACACGTGTGCCCCTGCACACCCCTTAACATAATCTGATTAGTGATAAGGTGACTCCTGGTCTCTGGGAAGACAGCACACACAGTGTGGCTCTGTGGCCGCCCTTTCCCCGGCTCCTCTGGGCCCAAGGCTGCAGCACTGCCCTTTCCTTGACATGGGGCCCCAAGCTTTTCTTCGGGGGCAGTTTGGCTGGCATAGCCGTTGCAGGCCTTGGAGTAGGGAAGCCTGGTTGGACCCTCAGTTCTGCCACTCAGGAGCCTGGGTGAGTCGTTAACTCCTCGGAGCCCATTTTCCTAATTTACAAGTGAATCATCTTCATTTCCACCTTATGGTGTTTTCGTAAGGATTAAATGCAATACGGTGTCTTAAGTGCTCAGCACAGTGCCCCACACTTGGTAGGAAGTGCTCAGAGATGACGGCTGTGACTATTACTCTTATTATTTTCATCATTATCATCATCTCCCCCAGTCACCACAGGCATTGCCTGAGCCTCTGAGCAGCCAAATCAATTCATCATCTCATCCAGGAGGCAGGAAACAGTCCCTTTTCCTGGTGGACTGGGCTTCCCCATTACCACCAGGCATGTGTTGATGTTGATACTGTGCAGCATTGGGCCTGGTTTCCACATTTCCACCGGGCGTGTGTGGACGCTGATGCTGCGCAGGCATTGCTGCTGATAAGGACAGCTCTCTGATTAATAACGCTAAGAAAGATAGACAGTTTTTAAAAATCCCACTTGTAGGCAATAAAACATGTTTGTGTGAAAACAGCCCTGCCTGCCAGAAGCAAAAAACATGCCACAAAACAACCTAGCACCTCTCCCTCTTAATTCTTCTGCAGTCAAGGGCAGAAGTGCAGGGCCCGGCGCAGTCTCCTCTGCTCACCCCGGGGTTTGAGGGCCTCAAGCCGCTGTAGCCTGTAAATGATGTCAGCTACTTTTCCCACTGTGTCGTGAATCAATATGGAAGCCCCACATAGGACAGATTGCAGATGAAAGGCACCCCGACCTTTCAGGGACTGCTGTGAGCCTGGAGTCTTCCTGGGTGCTCCCAGTCCAGGCTGCTCCCAGCTGTCCTGTCTTTCGTGTCTGGAATCAGGTCCAGAGAGGGAAACCTGTGTCCTGGACACCCCGTGTGCTGTGTCCTGGGGCTGCTGGAAAAATACCCTTAACTGGGGGTCTTTAAACAACAGGGATTCATCCCCCCGAAGCTCTGGAGGCAGAGATCTGAGACTGAGGTGTCCAGGGGCGGTGCTGCCTCCTGAGGCTCTGGGGAGCCTTCCTGCCTCTCCTGGCTCCAGGCCTCCGGGCGTCCCTGGGTGGTGGCCGCATCACTGCAGTCTCCGCCTCTATCCCCACGTGGCCTTCTCCTCTGTGTCTGTGTCTGCTCTTCTGCCTCTTGTAGGGACAATTGTCATTGAATTTAGGGCCCACTTGGGCAATCCAGGATGAGGCCATCTCAAAGTCCTTAACTTGAGGATATCTGCAGAGAACGTTTTCTCAGTCACCGTCATGGGGTTGGACGTGTCTTTCTGGGGCTGTTCAACCTGCTGCACCCTCGTTTACTCTTTCAATGCATGCTGTCAAGGGAGAGCGTGATTCTTAATTTTTTTATTTTTCTTTGAGACAGGGTTTCTCTCTGCTGCCCACGCTGGAGTGCAGTGGCACTATCACGGCTCACTGCAACCTTGAATTTTTGGGCTCAAATGATCCTCTCACCTCAGCCTCCCAAAGCGCTAGGATTACAGGCTCCAGCCACTGGGCCAGGCCCCTGTGATAACCTGGTCTTCCTTGGTGCCCAAATCACACACAGTTGCCATGAACGACGTCCACAAGGTGGGTGGCAGGCGGGAGCCTTCGTGATGGTCCTTGGTTCTCCCCTAGAAGGCTGGCTGCCCACATCTAAAGGTCAGGCCTGGCTGTGAGGTTGTCCGGCCCCGCCTGTGCCCCCCACGACCTTGCACGCTGAGAGCTCTGAGCTGGGGTGGAGAAGAAGATGCAGGGGGACAGAGGCCCACAGAGTCCTGGAGCCCCAACAGGCCTCAGCTATCACCTCAGGCCTCGAGAAGTCAGCTTCTCAGCACCATGACAGACGGTGAAGGTGACATAAGCAGCCCCACCACAGGCTCCTGCAGGGCGTGTGCTGCAAGCCCCATCCTGCCAGGACCTCCCGCATCTCCCAGGGAAAGCATCCGGGCACAGGGTTGATGGGGCAGCCCTGGCTCTGGGACCGGGTGACGGGTGGGACCTCTGCCAGGCCCGGGGCTCGTGGGTTGCCAGCAGGTCTGGGAGGTGGGGAGGCTTGTGCTGGGCCTTGACTTGCAGTGCTCATCCTCACCGGCCCTGCAGAGGGGACAGGGCACTGAAGGGCTTCCCACTGGGAAGAGGGTCTAGAAAGCCTTGTCCAAAGCTGATGTCTGAGATAAACCTTGAAGGATGAGTAGGAGAGCTTCCCTTTCTCAGGTGACAGAATGCAGACTGCTCTCCCGCCGGTCCGCCCCACGGCACATGGGCAGGCGAGGGCAGCACCGATCAGCATTGCTGCACAGGCGTCCTGGACTCCAGCCACGGGGACACTTCCCCAGCTCAGGCAGTGGCCATGGCAGCCTGGGGGCCACATCTGTCCCACGGGGTTCACTGTCGTTGCCAGCTCTGGTATCCGATTCTGGGTGATTCATGGGTGTTAATGTTGATTCAAGGACAAAACTACATCTTTTGCTTCTAAAACAGCTTTTCTGGTGCCAGGCATCTGATTCCAGCACACGCTGTGCTCCAGAGTTATTCCCAATGACGTGTGTAGCTCTTTGTTTTTTTTTTAGGATGAAGTTTCAAATGTCTAAGAAGTGATAGCTTGTCCAGCACAGGAGGCCTCTCTGTGTCACTTTGTGTCTGCTTGAGAGGCTCCAGCACAGGACATCAGGATGGTCTCAGACCACTGAGTCATAACAGTGCATGCAAACACAGATTTCACTGTGGAAACCTAGGGAGTGCTCTGTCCCCTTAGAGATGGGAAGACACACAAACAGTGACAACAGGGACTCATTCTGAGCAGGCGCGGTACCTGCCCAGGAAGGTGCCAATATTATCCTTTTTAGCTATTGAAGCAACGCAACCAGTCATACAGCAGGGGGTGGCAGAGACGGGACGTACCCCAGCTGCCTTGACCTTGACCCTTGCACTGAACTGGTGACCAGATTGCTCTGAGGAAAAGCAGGATCTGAACTCAAGGATGGCTGCAGGCTTCACTGCCTCTGGGTGCAGGCTGGAGCAGCTGCGGCCGGGACACGGGTGAAGGCGGCTGGCACCCCAAGAAGGCAGTGGCCCTTGGAGGGGGGCCCGTGGTGGAGCCTGGCCACCCACTCTCCGCACCCTGCAGGCCTGTACCCCTGCCCTAGGCTCCCACTATGAACCAAGCAGCGTGAGCCCTGGCCGCTCCCTTGTGGGGTCATTTGAGGAACAGCTGGGGTGGAATGAATCACATTTGGTTTGGGCCTCAGCATTTCCACAGATGAAGGCCTCCTTGACTCACTGGGGAGGGCTTGCATGGCCAGCAGATGCCAGGTGGAGAGTGATGCTCAGCTTTCTTCTAGAGTGACAAGGGCCCCTGGCTGGTAGAGATGGCCTTGAACTGACAGAGCAGAATGGAGATATTGCTGGCCGGACAGTTCCACCCACCCCAGCTGGAGGAGGTGGGAGGTGCAGCTGACAGCCAGGAGGCCATGGCACCCAGGTGTGCACATTCAGTCCTGCAGGGCGGCTCCAGGCAGCAGCCATGGCGCCCTCAAGGGCAGGGCACTTCCTCTCCCCAGGTCCACACATTCCCGACTCCACAGCCAGTCTTTCTTTCTTTCCTTCTTTTCTTTTTTTTTAATTTAAGTTTTAGGGTACATGTGCACAATGTGCAGGTTAGTTACATATGTATACATGTGCCATGTTGGTGTGCTGCACACATCAACTCATCATTTAACATTAGGTATATCTCCTAATGCTATCCCTCCCCCCTCCCCCCACCCCACAACAGGCCCCGGTTGTGATGTTCCCCTTCCTGTGTCCATGTGTTCTCATTGTTCAGTTCCCACCTATGAGTGAGAACATGCAGTGTTTGGTCTTTTGACTTTGCAATAGTTTGCTGAGAATGATGGTTTCCAGCTTCAACCATGTCCCTACAAAGGACACGAACTCATCATTTTTTATGGCTGCATAGTATTCCATGGTGTATATGTGCCACATTTTCTTAATCCAGTCTATCATTGTTGGACATTTGGCTTGGTTCCAAGTCTTCGCTATTGTGAATAGTGCCGCAATAAACATACGTGTGCATGTGTCTTTATAGCAGCATGATTTATAATCCTTTGGGTATATACCTGGTAATGGGATGGCTAGGTCAAATGGTATTTCTAGTTCTAGATCCCTGAGGAATCGCCACACTGACTTCCACAATGGTTGAACTAGTTTACAGTCCCACCAACAGTGTAAAAGTGTTCCTATTTCTCCACATCCTCTCCAGCACCTGTTGTTTCCTGACTTTTTAATGATCACCATTCTAACTGGTGTGAGATGGTGTCTCATTGTGGCTTTGATTTGCATTTCTCTGATAGCCAGTGATGATGAGCATTTTTTCATGTGTCTTTTGGCTGCATAAATGTCTTCTTTTGAGAAGTGTCTGTTCATATCCTTCGCCCACTTTTTGATGGGGCTGTTTGTTTTTTTTCTTGTAGATTTGTTTGAGTTCATTGTAGATTCTGGATATTAGTCCTTTGTCAGATGAGTAGATTGCAAAAATTTTCTTCCATTTTGTAGTTTGCCTGTTCACTCTGATGGTAGTTTCTTTTGCTGTGCAGAAGCTCTTTAGTTTAATTAGATCCCATTTGTCAATTTTGGCTTTCGTTGCTTTAGACATGAAGTCCTTGCCCATATTCACCCAATACAGGAGCACCCAGATTCATAAAGCAAGTCCTTAGAGACCTACGAAAAGACTTAGACTCCCAAACAATAATAACGGGAGACTTTAACACCCCACTGTCAACATTAGACAGATCAACGAGACATAAAGTTAACAAGGATATCCAGGAATTGAACTCAGCTCTGCACCAAGCAGACCTAATAGACATCTACAGAACTCTCCACCCCAAATCAAGAGAATATACATTCTTCTCAGCACCACACCGCACTTATTCCAAAATTGACCACTTAGTTGGAAGTAAAGCACTCCTCAGCAAATGTAAAAGAACAGAAGTTATAACAAACTGTCTTTCAGACCACAGTGCAATCAAACTGGAACTCAGGATTAAGAAACTCACTCAAAACTGCTCAACTACATGGAAACTGAACAACCTGCTCCTGAATGACTACTGGGTACATAATGAAATGAAGGCAGAAATAAAGATGTTCTTTGAAACCAAGGAGAACAAAGACACAACATACCAGAATCTCTGGGACACATTCAAAGCAGTGTGTAGAGGGAAATTTATAGCACTAAATGCCCACAAGAGAAAGCAGGAAAGATCTGAAATTGACACCCTAACATCACAATGAAAAGAACTAGAGACACAAGAGCAAACACATTCAAAAGCTAGCAGAAGGCAAGAAATAACTAAGATCAGAGCAGAACTGAAGGAAATAGAGACACAAAAAACCCTTCAAAAAATTAATGAATCCTGGAGCTGGTTTTTTGAAAGGATCAACAAAATTGATAGACCGCTAGCAAGACTAATAAAGAAGAAAGAGAAGAATCAAATAGATGCAATAAAAAATGATAAAGGGGATATCACCACCAGTCCCACAGAAATACAAACTACCATTAGAGAATACTATAAACACCTCTACGCAAATAAACTAGAAAATCTAGAAGAAATGGATAAATTCCTCGACACATACACCCTCCCAAGACTAAACCAGGAAGAAGTGGAATCTCTGAATAGACCAAAAACAGGCTCTGAAATTGAGGCAATAATTAATAGCTTACCAACCAAAAAAAGTCCAGAACCAGATGGATTCACAGCCGAATTCTACCAGAGGTAGAAGGAGGAGCTGGTACCATTCCTTCTGAAACTATTCCAATCAATAGAAAAAGAGGGACTCCTCCCTAACTCATTTTATGAGGCCAGCATCATCCTGATACCAAAGCCTGGCAGAGACACAACAAAAAAAGAGAATTTTAGACCAATATCCCTGATGAACATTGATGCAGAAATCCTCAATAAAATACTGGCAAACCGAATCCACCAGCACATCAAGAAGCTTATCCACCGTGATCAAGTGGGCTTCTTTCTTTCTGCTTCCTTCCTTCCTTCCTTCCCCTCTTTCTCTCTCTCTTTCTTTTTTTCCTTTTTGAGACAGAGTCTAGTTCTGTCACCCAGGCTGGACCTCAGTGGCATGATCTCGGCTCACTGCAACCTCCGCCTCCCAGGTTCAAGCAATTCTAGTGCCTCAGCCTCCCAAGTAGCTGGGACTACAGGCGCGCGCCACTATGCCTGGCTAATTTTAGTTTATTTTGTACTTTTTAGTAGAGATGGAGTTTTGCCATGTTGGTCAGGTTGGTCTAGCACTCCTGACCTCAGGTGATCCTCCCGCCTTGGCCTCCCAAAAGTGCTGGGATTACAGGTGTGAGCCACCACACCCGGTCCTTTTTTTCTTTTTTTTTTTTTAAGTTTCAACTTATATTTTGGGTTCAGTGGGTACATGTGCAGGTTTGAGTGATGCTGAAGTTTGGTGTACAAGTGACCCAGGTAGTGAGCACAGTACTTGGTAGTTAGTTTCTCAACCCCCTCCCTCCCCACCAGTATTCCCCAGTGTCTGCTCTTCCCATCTTGATGTCTGTGAGTACTCTTATGTTTATCTTCCACTCATAAGTGAGAACATGTGGTATTTGGCTTTTTCTGTTAATTCGTTTAGGATGACGGCCTCCAGCTGCATCCATGTAGCTGCAAAGAACATGATTTCATTCTTTTTTTTTTTTTATGGCATAGCCTGTTTCTCAATCCATTATGTCCTGCCCTGCCTCAGTCTCTAAAACTCCTTCCTAGGCCCGAAAGGTTTCCTATTCCCCTGTTTGGAGGTCCTCTCCCTCATCTGCAATCCACTGCCTTTAGAACTCCAGCAACATTCATGTAGGGGTCGACTCATGTTTTTTCCTGCATGATTACCTAGCAGTTCATGTTTTATGGTGTGACTCCTATGCAGTGCTGCATCTGTGGCTGGGAGCATGGCTTGGATGCGTTTTGCATTTTCGTGGTCCTGCCATAGCACCATGAGTGATCATGGCTGTCATCAACCTCTCGAATGAATGACTGCGTGTATGGATAAGTGAAACTCTCAAGGATGAATTATCTAAAAAGTAAAATTTCAGAAAAAAGTTGGTTATTTTTCCCACCAGTTATTATCAGCATTTTTTTCCCCAACCTTTTCACACTGTCTTCATCTGCTGGGGCTGCCGTAAAAGAATACCATAGACTAGGCAGCTTAAGCAACGGAAATTAACGTTCTTAATGGTTCTGAAAGCTGAAGCCCAAGATGATGGTGTCGGCCAGGTCAGTTTCTTTCTGAGGCCTTTTCTCTTGGCGCGTGGGTGCTGCCATCTTGTCATGTGCTACATGAACTCTCCTTTGTGTATGCATGAAGACAGAGCAGGACCAGACTCCATGGCATCATTTGTTTGTTTGTTTGTCTGTTTGATTTTGAGACATAGTCTCCCTCTGTTGCTCAGGCTGGAGCGCAGTGGCGTGATCATAGCTCACTGCAGCCTCAACTTCCAGGGCCCAAGTCATCCTCTTAGCTCAGCCTGCCAAGTAGTTGGGACCGCAGACACAGGGTGCCATACCTGGCTAATTTTTCAGTATTTTGTAGAGGCAGGGTCTCAATGTGTTGCTCAGGCTGGTCTCAAACTCCTGGGCTCAAGCAGTCCTCCTGCCTTGGCCTCCCAAAGTGCTGGGATTACAGGTGTGAGTCACCGTTCCTGGCCTGTGGGGTCATCTTTAATAAGGACACTAATCCACTGGATAAGCTGCCTCAACTCCATGACCTCATTTTGCCGTAAGTACTTCCTTAGGGTTTTGGACTTGCTTGGGCCCTGCCATCCTTTCCTTGTTGCCTCTTTCTCTCTCTTGGAAAGGGACGTCTACTCCATGCTTGGCTCACTGTTATATTTTGGGAACATGGAACTTGTTTGGGTTCCGTGGTTCACGGCTGGAGGGGAGAGCTCAGCTTCAGGGTGGGCAAATTGCACCCCGAGTCCCACCCATTCCTGATTCAGGTGAAGTTTTGTTGAGGCTCAGGACTTCACACCTTAGTGCTGATGCTGGAATGAGCTAAGACTTCTGGGGCTGTTGGGATGGGATGAGTGCATTTGCCATGCAAGAAGGATGTGAATTTGGGGGAGGTCAGGGACAGGATGTTCTCAACTGAATGTCTGTGGCAGCATCACCTTGTTGGCTCAGAGTGAGTGAGCTCACTCTCCGGTGTCACCTCTTACAAGAACACTAATCCCATCAGATCAGGACCCCACTCTCATGGCCTCACTTAACCTGAACTACTTCCTTAGAGGCCCCATCTCCAAATACAGCCACACTGGGAATTAGGGCTTCAACATATGAATTTCGGGGGACACAAACATTAGTTCCATCAAACAAAACATGATGTCACCTGAGCGGCTCCCTTTCTGAACCCATGTCATGTGTTAGCCTGGTGGGTACACCTTAGGGGCAGGCACCACTTGCTCTCTGCCCCTCATAGGCTTTATCTAGAAACATGTGGACATGCAGGTGTGGACTATCCCTCCTTCCTTGACACATGACATCTCCTTGCTTCCAGCATCTAGGAGGGCTGTGTGACCAGGGCTGCCTGTTGAGTGCTGGAGAAAATTGTGTTTGCCATTTTTAGGTGTGGATCCTGAAATTCCTAAGTGATGCTCCGTGAAATTCCTAAGTGACGCTCCGTGAAATTCCTGAGTGATGCTCCGTGAAATTCCTGAGTGATGCTCCGTGAAATTCCTGAGTGATGCTCCGTGATATTCCTGAGTGATGCTCTATGAAATTCCTAAGTGATGCTCTGTGATATTCCTGAGTGATGCTCTATGATATTCCTAAGTGATGCTCCGTGAAATTCCTAAGTGACGCTCCGTGAAATTCCTGAGTGATGCTCCGTGTTTGCCTCCTAGGCTCTTTTCCTCCTCTTTCTCAATCCCCCGTTTCTCTCTTCCCTCCCTACAAGCTGGATTCAGAGAACCCCAGGATGGAGCCACGAGAGGGTTGGGGCCAGGGTGAAGGAATTAGCTACAGGCTGAGCACGCACGGCTTATTTATAGTGCGCCACTGGCTTTGGGGGCCGTGGGTTACGGCAACAATGTTATTTACTCTGAGTCATAGAAGAGAGAAATCCATGAGAAAAAGACAAAGAAAACGTGGCAATCAAATTGAAGACTTATGCAAATAGTGCATGAAATCTTACAACTTATAAATAGAAAATGTCTCTGCACCATAACTCATGATTGATTTGACATGTGTGGTGGATCCATGATGAGTTGGTCTATTGCTGATGTCACACGTTTGGTGGGTCCAGATGATGACCTCATCTCCACTTAGGGGCTCTTCAGGCCTGGAGGCAGGTCTTGAGCATGTGCTGGGGGGTCCCCAGGCCTCAGGAACTAGCTCCTCCTCACTGTTCTGCTGGCCAGTAGAAAACATTTTTGTTATGAAAGTAGCCATTATTAGGGCCTCACCTATGGAATGCTAGATTTCTGTGTGTTGGTGGTTTGTGGATTCAGGTATGCAATAGGAGGCCCAGGCAAAGCACCATGCGCTTATATGCTTTGTGCTGGTCGATCCTGGTCCAATGGAAAGATATGGATTGGATAGCTCCAGCACTTGTTTCTGAGAATCTGTCCAGCTCTCGTGCAAGTCCAGCCTTGGTGAAAGACAATTTGCGTGATTTCTCAGCACGGTGCCAGCAGGGCTCAGGAGCAGCACCGAGGGGTGCACAGAGACTGTCACCCCAGAGTGCCCCAGCATCCTGCCCCTCAGGGACCGCAGGGCTGCATGGGGAGGATGTGGCACTAGGTTCCTGGGTGACTGCTCTCGCTACACTCCTAAGCCCAGGAAACTTCCATGAGAACTTTTTTTTCCGTTTAAAAAGCCAACCCCATCTCCTCCTCTATAATCCTTTTTTCTTTATTCTTTACATTTTAAATTGAGGGGCGCTTGACATTTATATGAAGCATATTTTTCAACTAACATTTTATAAAGGCAAATGTAAAAAGAGAAAAGCAAAAATTTAAAAAACTTTCCTTACTTTGGGTGGTGAACTAATTAAAATGTAGAGAGATTTGTAGTAAGCTGGTTAAATTTTCTCTCTTTGATATTTAACCAGCGTGATTTCCCATGACGGCTTCAGCAAGTCTCACCTCCTGGCTGGGGTCCCCACAGGTTGGCACAGCTCAGCTCCAGTGATAACCTCACTGCCTGAGTAATTAATCTCTTTCTCCAGGAAGTGGAGTTAGAATGGGTTGTGTTGGGGTCCCATTTACTAACTGCAGATCTTCCTCCCCTCCCTGTCCTTTCGAGACCACCTTGGTGTTTACGTGGTGCTCAGAGACCTGAAATATTTCTGTGCTTGGCCACAAACCCGTCTTACTGATAACCAACACAGCTTTCAACACAGATCTTGCTTTTTTGCACTGCGTCCTTCCATTTCCCCAGTGAAGCCCTTTCCGGGTCTCTCCACAGAACTGTGTCTACTGTGCCACAGGTATTTTAAGTGATTGGTTTTTAATTAAATCACATACATGATTGCAGCTCTATGTAGTTTTCCATAGTTGAATTACTGTATGTAAATGATACTGCCATTGATGACATAGGGTGTTAGAAGCTAGACAGCAGCTTAGAATTCAGATAGGGAGACATACTTCTTTAACACTAGGGATGTTTAATGTTTTAATCACTTGGGATATAATATATACAGTCAACTTTGGTTACTGCAAACCCAACTAATCAGACTTTGCAATAATGTGATTTTCTTCCCCACCTGGCACTTGGTTTACAGGAGAAGCAGCTAAAGTGCTCAAAAATAAGCTTGTGCCTGATTAATTTTTTGCATGCAAATTACAGAATATGCTCATGGGCCTGCAAGGGGTTCATTTCATCTCCTAGGATGGATAAATGCATTCAGATTTAGTGTTCTGAGCACATGGGCCAAGTTATATTGCATGGTCCCTTTCTAAAATAAGGGAAGACACTTTCCCATAACCCAGAGAACTGAGTTATCTCATTGTGTATTATGACCAATCCGCACCTTCCCATCATATCTTTCAATTCGGTGCCTACGTCAGAAGCTCTACAGAGGCTCCTAGGGTGCTCAAAAACCATGTGCTTACTAGTTCCGTCCACTTGAACTTGCATCACAGAAGGTAGACAAACCTGTGTTTCTCTATGGAGGTCAAATGCCAGCTCCTTTATAAAGGCTTCCCAGCATGGGAACCCTTGGTGTCTTACAGCACTTTCAAGCTGTGTCCTTTCCTGGCATAATTTGTATGCTTGTCTTTCTTTCTCCTGTACATGTCATACATGTGTAATATACCACAGACCTTGTGGACAAGTGGTTACTGTTTCTACTGACTTTCTATTGGTTAATAGGAGTTCTAGCTAAGGTCATTGAAATCGTGCTACTTGCCAGACACTTTCTAAATGCTTTAGGTGCATGTTTTCAATTAATCCTCATAAACCACTTTATAATTAAGGGGCTGCAATGATCTCTATATTTGTTAACAATCCTGTGAATTAATGGTAGTGTGCACAGCTTAGGACACGTGTCCTACAAGTGGCTCATTGGTGGGGTGTTGTCCATCATGAGAATAACTGGTGTGGACAGCCTATGGCACATGCCCTCCATGTGGTTCATCAGAGGAGTGTTGACGATCTTGAGAATGACTTCTGTAGACAGCCTATATGGCCTGTGTCCTTCATGTGGCTTATTGGTGGAGTGTTGATGATCGTGAGAATAACTAGTGTAGACAGCCTATAACACATGCCTGAGCAGTGGAGTGTTGTCCATCATGAGAATAACCAGTGTAGACAGCCTATGGCCTGTGTCCTTCATGTGGCTCACTGGACTTGTACAGATACTTGCAGGAGGAAGAGGCCACTTCTGGGTAGGGACTGGGAGTGGGGTAGTCAGGGAAGCCTCCCTGGAAGAGATAGTTTATGTGATTCCTTCAAAGCCCAGAAAGAATCTAAATTGTCAGGGATTAAATGATCATAAAAACTTAGTAGAAGCCATAGCCTGAAGCAGTTCAGAGGTGGAAACATTTGTTTTTGGGATAAGAACAAAGAGTAGATCAGTCTGGCCTGAGTAAGAATTTGTGCAGAGTAGTTATGAGAAATTAAACTGAAAGGGCCACTCACTACAGGAGAGTGTAGGGTCTCGATTCCAGGCCAAGGAGTTCATCTGTTAATTCATCAAATATTTATGGAATGCTTCTCAGGGTCAGACACGATTATACCTGCCAGGGATACATCAGCACAGAAACAGGCAGAGATCGCTCCCACGTGAAGCTCAGACGTTACCCAGGCACATGGATGTCCTTTGAGGGACCCTGACCGGCAGGGTGACAGGGCTGGGTCTGCAGCTGTGTGAGGGGCCACATGTCTTGGTGAGGACAGTGATCCAGGGCCTGGCACCGAGGGCACGTCTCAGTCATGGTAAGGTCAGCAGTTTGTTGTTTTGCTTTGCTTCAAGCACCCTAGATGTAAGGTGAATTATGAGGATGCTCTCAGGGCTAGGAAGGTTAAACTGTTGCACTGGACCTGCACTATAGCTGTTACTACCGATGGCTGCCTCCACCCACAGCACGGGTAGCACCCTGCGAGGCTCTCGATTGAGATCCCTGCTGGGAACTGTTAACACATTATTTAATCCACCCAACAACTATGTGAAGAACCGTCCCATTTTATAACTGTAGCAAAAGAGTTTTAGGGAGATTTGGTAGCTCGGCCAAAGATCTAAAGCAAGCAAGTAGTTGAGGCAGAAATGGGGTTGTTTCAGGTCTGAATCTGAGCTGTGGCAGCCTATCTTCATGGACACTACCTGATGCTCTTTTGAGGTGGATTCCCAGAAGGTCTCGGAAAACAAATCCAACCATACACTGTAAATCCTCGAGATATAGAACTCAGCACATCTGTGGGGTCCAACTCCAGTCCTTGAGTGGGAGAGGAAGGTGGGCCTTAGAGACCCTCATGGTCTGGCCCACCTTCAGTCCTTGAGGGGTGACTTCCCCTCCAGACAATATCAGGAAGGCATAGGTTGCCATCCAGATGCCCCAGCTCCTGCAGAGGACAGGTGAGTGGCTGGGGAGGGGACGAGAGAGGCTGGACTGGGGGCAGGTGAGATAGTGCTTTGCAATATAGAAAGCCCTGCACAGAGAGACTCTAAAACCTGTTCAAAAAAGCCTGAATAATCAACAGAAAAGTCATCTGCAGCATAAATTCTTTTTTATATATGAAAAAGAGAGACATCCAGCTGTCCCCATTATTGTTGGTGATTTAGCCATTTAGAAAATGCCTGCTGAAGGGTCTCTTGGCAGCGGGGCAGGGTTAATGTGTCTTGCACCAGTCTTTCATGCCTCCCAGGAAAGAGCTCACACCGTGGGGAAACGCGCCCTCCTGTGAACCCTTACAAAGCAGCTCGGCTTCTCGCAGGGACGATGGTGGTAGGTGGGACTGGGTGGGTGGGGGTTCTGGAGAATCCTTGGTGATGCCCTGAGGCTTTGCCTGGCACCCTCAGAGCAGAGGTTTAAGATACCCAGCCTTGAAGCTATGAATGCACAAATGGGCACCGGCTGCACGTTGGACCAGCAATGGTCAGAGGAGAGGGTGTGTGGTTTCTCGTTACACAATAGTGATAACCAGGTGCTTCCAGCTCCAGGGTTAAGTGGGGAGTTGGCCCCATATTTGATGAGCTGTGCATTCCCGTGCTTAACGGAAAAGCAAAGCAAAAGGCTGCTCTGTTAGCTCCCACTTTTTGTTGCCCACATTTTGCCTATTGGCTCCGATTACCATGGCAAATTACCAGCATTATTCACATTGGAAAATGAACTTTAAATGGGAACATTGCAAGACTCAAACTTTACTCATTTCCAACACTAATATTTTGAATGGCATGAATAAATAAAATGTGCTCAAATTTGCAGCAGTAGTCCTCAGGGTAAAATTGACATTCAGCCAAAGTGGTGGGATACTAAAATCCATAGATTATAAAGGAGAAAGCCTTTAGTAAATATTTTCCTGTTGAAATCCTGTCTTTGGGTTTATACGGCTGAAAAATCAGAAAGGTTAGATTTGCACGTGGGTGGGGCAATGCGGAATCCAGGACCGTTGCCCCGAGTCCCCAGGCTCCTTTCCCCTTTGAACTTTGTTTCACAGCGGGGGCGGGTGGTGGGGCAGTGGGGGCGGGTGGTGCCTCACTGGAGAGAGCCAAGAGGGGGCTTGGGAGTGCAGATGGCAGAGGGACGCAGGGCCAGAGTCCACATGGAGGTGGGACACACCTCGAAGCCCCCTCTCAAACAACACACCCCGTCTAGACCCGGGAAGTAGGAGAAACACTGCCAGGAGAGTCCAGCCAAACACAAACCGAAGCCTCCGGGATAATCAGAGAAAATGGAAGATGATCTTCCCTGACTTCCATCTTCATATCCCTTTGTGTTTCTGTGGAAGAGGCAGTCTCTATGTCATGTAATGAGCCCTGTTTTCTGACAATTACAATAAAGCTTCATTAATTTCAAAATCAGGGACTGGTAAAAACCGATGTCCAACCAAATAGTTCAAATTATCTGACTATTTAATTATTCTAAATCTCAAATTACCTAAAGGCGGATGGCAAATTTGAGTGAAGGCATGAAAAGGAAAAATCCCTTATTGTAGCCATTGTATGGTGGGAAAAGCCCTAAACTTGGGATCAGAAGAACCAGAGTTGAGTTCTGCCACCACCTTCCCCCAGCTGCATGACCACTACGGGGCAATTGGGGTCTCTGAGCCACGGGTTCCTCTTCTGCAAGAGGCATCATCATAATCACTCCTCAAGGCCAAGGCTCTGCATCTTGGCACAGAGATGTACGCCTGCAGCATCCTGCACTCGTCTCTTCCGTAGGAACAGTGCTGGTGTCATAGGGGTGTTAGGAGGTTGGATGACAGTGGATGGAGGTGCTTAGCCTGGTACCCGGCACTGTTAAGCTCAGCATCCAGCACTCAAATACCAGCTGCTGTTGTTATTGCCATTATCATCCAACTGTGTGCAAACATAACATTTTTTTAGAAAAAATACAGAAATAACTCACCCCCACGTGCCTCATCCTTCAAATTAAAGTAACCTGTTTAAAGGGTACATTTTGATACAATTAAGTATGCAGGCAATGCAGTTTTGAGGAGGCGTATGTTGGGGTGACCTTTCCTGTGACTCACTTGAAGTTGGCCTCTGTCTTGGCTAACTCTCTGACTTTGCTGCTGCTGGTGAGGCCTGTCCCCCACGACTGTGCTCACAGGATGGTCCCCTTAAAAGAACCTGAATAACGAGTTGAATCATAAGGAAATCAAAGCTACATAGTTAGCCTTTTAGAGTTTTATTCTTAATTCACAAATAATAATTGTATATATGTATTGGGTGCAATGTGATGTCTTGATACATATACACATTGTGGGATGATCATATCAGGCTGACATAGCCACCACCTCAAAGACTTACTGTAATGAGAGCATTTAGAGTCCTTTCTTTTGGCTGTCCTGAAATACATGATACATTATCATTAACTATGATCACCATGCTGTGTGACAGATCCCCAGAACCTGTCCCTCCTGTCTACCTGAAACCTCGCGTGCTCTGACGGACATCCTAGCCCCTGGTAACTGCCTTTCTCCTCTCCATTTCCGTGAGAGTTCTGCAGCCATGCACATAGATGCTGGGTAGATTTTGGACCCAAAGCCAACCTTAGGAGGAAATTACACATATATCAGCTGTTCCATTTAGTCACTTTTAGTGAAATCATCAGTCTATTTTTGGTGAGGAAATGCTCATCAGTGAAACTGCCTGCTCACTCTTTAATTACATGTACCTTTATTTCTGTTTAAATTGGAAGCTAGAGTCTGAGGCAACAGCACATTCAAAGGTTAAGTTAGTGTGCTTTGGAGTTATGCCGTCGGCTGTGTGGCCCTCTAAGCATTGTTTTCTGATCTAAGCGTTCCTTCCTCTCTGATTTCACAGCTTGGGTGTGTTATTTTGTGACTGCTGACACAAACATTGTCCTCGTCAGACTGGATGCCCAAGGACAAGGACTCAGTGTCACTCCTCATTGCAATCACAACATCCACTGAGTGTGCATGGTGGGCCCCCACCCCAAAGCACGCTTGCCTCTGGGTCAGCTCGTGCACTGCTGTCTCTGAAGCCCTACCCTAAAGGGAAGCCTGAAAGGAGCTGAGGGGGTGTCTGTCAGAGCCCTGACTGCAGACAGGCTCGGCCATGCCCAGAACGTCACAGACACCAGTTCTCAAGCATTTCTGCTTTTATTTCACCCCCATCCCTGTCCCTCGGGGAAAAGAATCAATCAGAATTTATTGTGCAAGGCACTGATGAAATACAGGGCAAAATAAGACAAGGTCCTCTACATAAAGCAGCCTAGAATACGAAACAGGAAACACAAAATACCATGTGATAAATGGCAGCTGACATTTCTCAAGGGCTGACTGCATAGCAGGTGCTCTTCCAAGTAACAGCGAGTGTCATTTCTGTTCATCCCCGTTGTATCCCTAAGAGGCAGTTACGATTATTGTCCTGTTTTACAGATGAACAAGCCAAGGCTGAGGAAAAGAAAACTCCTTGCCCAGCACACAGGCAGTAAGTTGTGGGTCTGGAAGTCACACTAGTTCCATGAGGCCCCACAATGCGTGCTGCCTCTGAGACGCTGAGGAGAGAGAAGAGATGCCTTGGTCACAGCTCCCACCCTCAGATGAGATGAGCCTGCAGGTAGGAGGCCTGCCATGGCAAATGCTGCCTCTTAGATGAATTGGGGTAGGAGAATGACCCCCAAACTCCTGGAGCAGGCAGGCAGCCACCTGCATCAAGACCACGGGGTACTTCTGTGGGTCTTAAGCCCTTTCCCCACTCCCTGAATAGGGGTTTCTGACAGAGGATGCCGAGGCACTCTGACATGTGACGCGGTTGTCTAAACGCTGGTGTAAGCCAAAAATAAAATTCTAAGGCCCCCCAACCATCCAAATGGACCCCTCTTCTCAGCCAAGGGCATTCCAGAGTTAACCTGAAAAACTGGTTCAGACATGATGGAAGAGGGG
The DNA here is from genome assembly GCF_000001405.40 of Homo sapiens. NCBI lineage: Eukaryota > Metazoa > Chordata > Mammalia > Primates > Hominidae > Homo > Homo sapiens. The sequence goes on from NC_000010.11 coordinate 1,288,980, forward strand.
GTCGGACATGCCTCATGATACCTCCCTCCATTGTGGAATTCAGGAAAAGCCAACCAGCCTTAACATCAACAAAGACCTGAGTCCGATGAGAAACAGTGACCATCTGTTCCCTCCAAAGCCTGCTACCCAGAGATCTGCATGGTCAAACCCTGGTCTCCACACCCCTTATCCTAACCCAGACCTTCCTTTCTACTGATCATAACTCTTTCAACCAATTGCCAATCAGAAAAATGTTATGACCTGGAAGCCGCTGCTTTGAGTTGTCCCGTCTTTCCAGACTGAACCAATGTCAATCCTACACGTATTGAATGATGCCTCAATTCTCTCTAAAATGTATAAAACCAAGCTGTGCTCCGACCACACTGGGCACATGGCGTCAGGACCTCCTGAGGCTGTGTCACAGGTGTGTCCTTAACCTCGGCAAAATAAACTTTCTAAATTGGTTGAGGCTTGTCTCAGATACTTTTGGGTTCACGTTGGGGACCTGGAAGAGGGAGGAGGAGGCCTTCAGGGGGAGGCCTCTGCCCACGGCACCGTCAGGAAGCCCGAGTCTGCCACGGCTGCTGGGTGGGACAGACCAGGGTGCTCCTGACGGGCAGACCCATCCCACTTTCTGAGGTGGAAAACCAGGCCTGGGCCTCCCACTGCCCACCTCCTGCTTCCTCTCACTGGCTCCGTGGCCAGGACCCGTTCTCTCTGCCCCTCGCTTTGGTCTATGCAGGCCTCATACCACGCATTGCTGCTGGGTGACAAGACAGCCCACAGGATCCAGCCCCTGGGGGGACCGCCCGACCTTCACTCCACGGTGGGTGTGCCACAGCCAGCACGCAGGAGCAGGCGTGTTCCACACCAGGGAGGGGCAGGTAGGCGTTCGCCAAACAATAGCCTCTGGCCTGCGGCAGGAAGGCCCTCCCACGTGTGCAAGGAGATGCGTTAGAGCAGGCACGGCATACATAGGCACATACACGGCATACATAGGCTGGTGGCTGAGCACAGCTGTAACTTCCAGGGTTACAGACATTGAGGCATTTCAGTCTTGTGTTGTTAGCATGTTTTAATCCGACATAATTAGTTACAGTAAAGAATCCATCTAGGGAAAATGAAGAAAATACGGCTTTAAAATGAAGGATCTGTATAGAGCAAAAGCAGGGACTGAGTCATACGAGGCTGAGTCTCTCTTGGTGCCTGAGGCTTTGCAAGGTCAGGAGCTGACTACCTTTTCCCCCATGTCTGACAAGTGGATTCTGTCCTCTGCATGTTGTTGTTTATTTTATGAATCAGCCCCAGCCATTGTCCAGCTCACGGGCACCTCCAGCAGAGAGTGGAGGCCTGCAGGGACTCACAGGTGACCCACGCCTGCAGCAGAGTGGAGAAGGGCCTCCCTCCTGGTCGGCGGAAGGACATCGACATTGAAGCCAGATGCTGGGGTCCCCAGGACCAGGTGTCCACACCCCCACTGCACGGATGAGACAATCAGCACAGGGAGGTGGGCTGGCTCGCTGACACAGGCTCAGGCAGTTGGTGGGATGCTTGGAATGAAATCCCTATCCCTATGTTTAAATTCTAGCTCCAAAATCTGGGCTCCTGACCACAATGTTAGAGGTGCCTTCCAAGGGCTTTTCACTAATTGAGGATTTCAAACAAGCCTGAGATGAGAGATCCCACATTCAGCCTTGAGCAACTGAGGGTTGACGGTTGTGTGTGCTGACATCTGTCTGTCTACCTGTTGATTATGTAAAGTAGTCGTCCACAGTTTCCTAAATCGTTAAATATCCACAAATCTGTTTACACACATTAACGGTAGTTACTGCTTTAGCAATCAACTTCAAATTTGAATACCATTAAAACACAGAAAATAAACTAAAAACCACATTGGGAAGATGCATATTTCTGTTTTTTTGTGAAACTGGTGCTTTCTGGTCTACTCAGGAAGATATTTTGAGCCCGGGTTTAATTAGGATCTTTAAATTCTCATTTGTGTGCTGACATGAGGGTGCAAACAGATGAGGTCCTCCGTTTGGGGCTGATTCATGGTTATTTGCATTCATCTGGATTTAAAAAGATAAAAACCAGAAGAATCATTTCAGGCCATCTAGAGAAAGAGATTCCCTTGGAAAAAGTAGTTGTTTCATAAAGAAAGTAATATTTACTTCCCAGCTTCTGTTAAATTCAAGAAAAGCCTTTAAGTGAGCATCTAAGGAACGCCAACCCCTCTTCTGCAAAATCACCAGGGAGGCTGATGTTACACAGGCCTCCAGTGCCACAGAGGTGGGGGCCCTCAGACCTCTTTGTCCCATGACTTTGCCCCTGAGTCTTTCCCTATCCTGAAAGCAGGATCTGGAGAACAGAAATCAGTGGATGAAAATTGCCAAGTTGTTCCCAATGCACCTGGGTCCCTGAGGCAGCCTGGGTGCCGCTGCTGAGCATCCTGCAGGCTCCCAGAGGAGCGGGGTCGGAGCTCCTTCACAGCTCAGTGTGTGTAGAAAACGCAGTCCTCTGGTCCATGTTCCCTCCTCACAGCAAAACCACCAGCACCTCTGTAATGCTGTGTTCCCTGCACAATCCTGCAATATTTTTGTTTATTTACATACCCGATGTCCCTGGTGGAGTGAAAGCAACTGCATGGAGTGAGCGCCCCACCAGGTCCCAGAGCTCCAAGAAAATCCTGCGAAAAGTAAGCATCTCAGACGAAGCCACAGATGGCCCACCTCGGCCGGGTGAAGTTTTAAATTTGGACAAACATGCAACCAAGACGGCTCCTGTGGTGTCCTGGAGGAAGCCGAGCTCAGCCCTGCAGAATGCATGGTGTGTGGGTTCCATTAGATTTCCATCTGGTGTCTGGAGGGCCTAGAGAAAGCCAGGAGAGGAGAAGGAGCCTGTGTTTCCCTAGAGAGGACCCCGAGGCCTGGCTGGGCAGAGGCTTCATGCCTGGCACTGCGGCAGGTCAGGGGCTGTGTGGCGGCAGAAGGCATATCGTGGCTGTGTCCGTGGAGCTGCGCCTTCCAAGTTACCAATTCCAGTGGGGCTGTTCGCGTCTGCCACCAACTTTCCTAAGACTGACCTCGCCAGCCGCTCAGAAAGCAGCGTTCACCACTATCGGCGTGCGTGTGTTAAGCTGACTTGACCTTGTCTGCACTGGGTGTTTCCAGATAGTCTGGGAGTGGGTAGGGGAGGGCACCTCACTCTGTGACCCAGGCTGGTCTCGAACTCCTTGGCCTCAAGCCATCCTCCCGCCTCAGCCTCCCACAGTGCTGAGATTACAGGCGTGAGCCACCGCACCTGGCTAGAATCTTGTTTTTCACTCCCAGGGAGCATTGAAACAGAGTAGTCACAAAATAAATGTTTAGAAAAAAATTTAAAAGTTGCATATATTACTGTCGCAGGATTAGTAATTGTCACTCTACTGTGAAGCCTTTTTATCCCCCTCACTTAGACAAAAGGCTTGTGACCTGAGGCCCTTCTCTACTGAGTGATTTTCTTTCAAATCACAGCATGCATAGACACTCAGTATATCTTTTCCGATAAAATTAGGTATGTGTTTTCTTCATACCCTGTTGCACCAGGAATCAAAATGTCTGTATCACTCTCAGGTTCCGTCGCCCTGAAACCTTCAAGTTCTGTCGCCATGAAATCTTGCTGGGTCTTGTCACTGCTCCACGGGACAAAATGTGATGAACAGAGGTGGTTCGGGTGCCGCGCTTCTGAGAGGAGTGACTTGGGTCTCCCGGCTGAGGCTGCGATGCCACTGCCCGCTGACGGCCCACTTGCCAGGATGTCCTGGCCTGAGGACACCCCAACGGGGAACAGAGGTCGAATGACGTGTGGCTGCTCGGAGCCTGTTCTCCAGAGAAAGCTCCTTGTTCGAGGAAGGTTTCTGACACCAGAAATCATTCTGGTTTCTTGTCAGTAACTGGAGGGGAAAATCCAAAGCCTTTGTTGCTAAGATACATAACATCCTTCCATGGAGAGAGGGAAGGAGAGAGAGGGAGAGGGAGGGAAGGAGAGAGAGAGGGAGAGGGAGGGAAGGAGAGAGGGAGGGGAGAGAGAGGGACACAGGAAGAGATGCAGAGGGAGGGAGGGAAAGGGGGGAGAGGAGGGAGAGAAAGGGAGGAAAGGAGGGAAGGGGGGAGAGAGAAAGAGAAAGGGACATAGGGAAGGAAAGAGAGAGGGAGAGGGAGGGTAAGAAGGGGGGAGAGGGGGAGAGAAAGACAGGAATAGAAAAAAGAGGGAGGGAGGGAGAGAGGGACGGGGAGGGAGAGAGGGACGGGGGGAGAGGGACAGAGGGAGGGAAGGAGGGAGGGAAAGAGCAGGGAGAGAAGGGGGAAGAGAGAGGGGAGGGAGGTGGGGGAAGAGGGCAGAGAGGGAGAAAGAGAAGGGAGGGAGGAAGGGAAGGAGAGAGAGATTTCAAAGCAGTTTTACTCTTCATGTGGTCTGTTTTAGCCCCGTCCTCCTCTGCCTTTCTTCTTGTGTGTGTTTAAAAGCTATTAATCAGTTTTAGAAAGCAAATCTCTGCCTCTGTTGTGAGCATCTCGATTTTTCTTTTGCATTTTCAGGGCATTCTCGCTGGAAAGGCTCAGTCATGCTGGACAAACTATTATACCAGTGGAAGTCTGTCCAGTTTCTGATAAAACCAAAACTAATTTATTTTTTGTTTATCCTCCACTACCTTTGACAAAGCTTCCTCTGGAGATGTGTATCTTCATTCCCCACTCCTTTCTATGTCATCTCTTTTTGTTTTGTTTTGCAACTGACAAGGGGAAATAAATCTGACACCAACCTCGGAAGATGGTAATGCATTCAAGGCTTTTCTTCCCTCTCAGATGTGATAAAAATCTTGCCTAAAACCATGTCCAACCTTTTCAGCAGAAAGTCCAGATGGCTTTGCAGCCTGTAAAACAGACTTTACTCACTGATGCCTCTCGGAGTGTCGGCAGGGCAATGTCTTTCTCGCAGCAGAAATGCAAAACAAAAGACAGCATCTGTGGCTTGCAGGGGGGCGGGGGCATGGGGGAGCTGTTGGTCATCTGGAAGTGCAAACAAAGAAAAAACTTAGAGCAAGCTCAGAAGAGAACTTCCCATGAATGGGAATTCCATCAGGTGGGCTGCAGGGTGAGGAGGAGATGGATGAAAATCAGCTGCAGTGGGTACGAGAATAGATCATTTGAGATGAGGAAGAATTCAACTTTTCCACCATTGAAGATGAGTGACTGCCGATAGAATCAGCTCTGTGGTGGCCACATCTCTCCATCGGGGTGTGCTTGCAGTTCTGTTGGAGAAATTCCATTTCTGATGCCAGCCATGTGCAGATGGCTGAGGCTCACATGAGCAGTGTGTGTGCAAGAACAGAGGCCCAGGAAGACTTGTGATGCCTGGGACCTGGCGGGGTGACGTGGCTCCTCACTTACCCATCTTCAGTGTGAGGATGAATTCCTCATTTCTGTCAGCCACAGCTGCACACTCTGAGTGTGTGCTGATGGGCCCTTGACTCACCTGATGGCGTTTCACCTTACAGCTGGGGAAACTGATTCTCGAAGAAGGCAGCAGCCCCTCGCGTTGTTTGACTGATAACCAAGCAGAGGGTTCCAGTGATGTCGACCCTAGGACTTCTCCGGCTCTGACATGACTGTCTCGCTTCCCCCATCCAGCGATGGTAACCGCTGGGTCACACTGCCTTGCCTTTCTGTTATCTTGCCCCCAACGTCAAAGCTTTGCTGAGCTCATTATTACACCTGTGATGGAATTCCAGTCAAGCCATCTCCTTCCCTGAGTTGAAAATTGCTTCTCCCCTGATGCCAGCCCTAATTAGCGCTACCCAATTCTGACAACCCATGTGCCCACAGCATGGAGTGGTGGCTCTCAGCCCTGCCTGCAAATTGTATTCTCCTGGGGAGATTTAAAAACTGTCCCCTGCCAAGGCCCCGACCTAGACCAATTGTGATAGGATGCCTGGGCTGGGGCCAGGATGTCTCTGTTTGTCAAAGCAGATTTCTGTGTGCAGCTGGAGTGCGGAGTCACTGGCAGCAGGTAAGCAGCTGGCTTCTGCGGGAACGGCCCACATCCTTTCCTGGTGAAACATGTTGAATATCTTCATTACGTGTGTTCCTCTCACTTCAGGTGTGGAAATGCCGGTGTTCCAGGAAGGCCAGGACAAGGCCTTTCTGTTTGAGGTCATGGCGTTATGTCTGGTGCAGAGCTCGACATATGACGTTTGTCGCTGTTGGTTGGCTGATTGATGGGGCCTGGGGAGTGTGAATGTGACATGGGATGTGGGAGAGAAACATCAGAGGAGCTAAAAGCCAAGAAATGACCTTCAAGGTGCTGCAAAATCTTGGGAAGAGTGTGAGAGTTCGGTGCAGGAAGATATGCTGGGGTTACAGGTATTTACATCCCAGGCATGTGTTGAAGTGGATTGCTGTGCACTTTTGACCTCTTTAAGTCATTTAGGTGATAATCAGATAGAACATAACAATTTCACCAGGAAATGTTGGGGACAACATCAGAGATGTCCGATGCAATTTAGGAGAAAGAGTACAACGGACAGGGAGGACAAGAGGACCCTGAGTGCCGCTCTCTCTGGTGGTGGGAGTCTGGGCTCTGAGCTGACGTGTGCGCCTCTGTTTCTTCAATGACCTCTCTTGATACGATTTTGGATCTGCCTCTAGAATCCTGACTTATTTAGAGATCAGAAATAGCAGAATGCATGAAGGGTCTCATTAAGAATTTTTGCTTTTTAGAATTACCTAAGTTTAAAATACAGAATAATGATAAATGGTTTTATTTTATTCTTTCAAAATATTTTTCAGAAAATAATCTCTAATATCATTGAATATGGGAGAAGTACAGCTTCTTTAAGACCCTGTTGATTCACAGACTGTAGTAGGAAAAGGTGGCCTATGTGTGGTGCAGCAGTAAGCTCTTGCTGTGTAATGACCATCCCCAAGCGCAACGGCTCAGTCAGCAAGCATTTGCTCCTCACTCAGGAGCCTGTGGTTGGACTGGGGTGGGGTGATATTGACTGGCCTGTGCAGCTTGGCTTCCAGCTGTGCTGTGGGGTCAGGCCCGCTCCATGTGCAACTCCCTTTGGATCAGCCCCTCTGGAGACCCCTTCCTGTCATGGTGCTGGCAGATGTGCCAGGGTCCAAGTCCACCTGCTCAAGTGAACTTCAAACCTCTGCTTATTGGGACCCTCCAGTCCCACTGGCCTAAGCAGGATCCACGTGTAAGACAAACATGAATGGGAGGGGAAAGTATGTTCCCTCCACAGAGGAGGGAGAGAAGGCGAATATTTACTGACCTGTAATCTAACCCATCTCAACAGCTTAGTGTGTGCAGACTGTAGAAAAATGTGAAGGCTCCAGGAAGTCTGTACTAAAGCTTTCATTCCCCACTGCTGGTCTCTCACAGTAGAGATGCTGCTTAACCCCATTATCGGAGGACAGGACTGAAATGGTTATTGGCTACTGATGATTCCATAACGTATTCTATGCTTTTCCAGACAACTGCCACATTGAGACACCTAACTGGCGGCAGAGAATTGAGGGACAGGCCTGGTGCATGGGAGTCTTCCTGTGGTGCTGTGGAGTACAGAAGGCCAAGTGCTCCATCACAAACGTTGGGGGAGGGCAGGGGGAAGGGGTCAGGATGGTTGTCTGCAGCTTTGCCTGGGACTCTCTGCATTTAGCATCTTTCTATCCACAACATATGTAATGACCCCAAAACTCCTGGGACACAATCAAGTGTGGAAAGGAGGAGGCCCTGCTGTCTGTGTTCTAAGCTCAACAACATAATTGGAAAATGGGAGAGTAGTTTTTAGCCACCCTCATTTCTACTGCAAAATTCCTTTTTCACTCATCCCTTTCTCCTTCCTTACTGCCAGAAAAAATACACTCCTTCTCTGCTCCCAGCCTGGCTCCTTGCTAAGATGCTCGGTGCTGTCCTGCCCGCTGCCTTCAGGGCAGTAACAGTCTGTCTTTTCTAACTCCCATCTCTCCAGTATTTTATTTGTGTAATCTTTCGTGTTTTCCTTTTCTTTTCCTCCTATACAAAATACCTATCTAAACACAAACAAAAATAAGTATCCTGGATTCAATAGTATCCTCCAAATTTAGGTCTACCCAGAACCTCAGAGCATAATGTTATTTGGAAATAGGGTGTTTGCAGATGTGATTAGTAAAGGATTTAGAAACGAAATTATCCTGGCCTTAGAGGAAGCCCTAAATCCAGGGACTGGTGTCTTTATCGCAGGGAGGAAGGGAGGTGTAGCCCCCGTCGGCCTTGGGTATGGAGGGAGGCGTAGCCCCCGTCAGCCGTGGTTATGGACCCGCAGGTGTTATGTTTCTTCACTGCAACTGAGCCCCATTAGCTCAAAGCTTGCCAGAGCCAAACTCAAGTTTTTACACATCCAGTTATTTTAAAAATAGCCCAAACAAGCAGATTTTTAGCCGTTGAAATGGTACCTGCTTGGCATTCCCTGTGAAACCTTACCATAGAGCTGTTCCCCACTGATAAGGTGGGGCCTTGTGGTTATAAGACCACTGGCCGTTCAGACCCCGAAGAGCCCTCTGACCCAGAGACCCCCGAGGGTGGCTGCGTGGCATCGCCTGGACAAGGAGCCCCCTCTGAACCCCTCTTCCCAGCAGCTCCCTTGCCCTCCTCTCCTCTTGGAACAGTCTTAGGCCATGACAGATGCCCCTGCATGCAAATCTGTCCAAGCGCCAGCCTCATACAGCCTGTGTGCGCTCCTGCCACCGGGGGGCACACCTTTTTCCTCGGTAAGCCCTGAAACTCCCCCAGTCTAGAGACGCGGGCACAGCCAGGACAGCAGCAGCCATGGAGGCAGGGGCTGGAGGGATGCAGCCGCAGCCCGGGGCAGAGGATCCCCAGCCATGGCTGGAGGCCAGGAGAGAGGGTGGGACAGATGCCCCTTAGAATCAGAAGGAACCAGCCCTGCCCACACCTGGAGGTCAGCTCTGGTTCCAGAGCTTTGAGAGAATAAACTTCTGTCATTTCAGCCACCTGGGTGTGCTCACTTGCTGTAGCGGCTGAGGAGCTCTCACAAACACAGCCTTGCTTTCCACTTCCCTCCCTCCTATTTGAGATAGCAAAAAATGGACCATTCTGTCATTTATTCATTTCAGAAACACACACATTGTCTCCATTGTGCCTCCCACATGCCAGGCAGCAAACGAAACGGACAGAGATCTGTCATTCCGGGAGACTAAAATGTAGGGAGTAGATGCTATTGAAAAAAATAACACAAGTTTATAAAGACAAAATGAAGTTTCTCACAATGGCTTTGTAAACACAGCTTGGGGAAAACAGCCGGCTATGTTTTTATGTTTTTTTGCCAAGGAAGGTTTTTTGGAGTGGCTGGACTTAAGGGTTTCCATGGAGTCTGCTCTGGGTGATCCCGGGGGCACATCCCAGGGCTGAGCAGATGTTGTCTATTGAAAGTGAGGTTTTCCCTTCACCTAATTTACAGCCTATATTTGAGATGCTATTGCGCTTAAAACCTAGGCAGGATGGTATGCACAAAATTCACCTTGAGGGAGCCCAGAGAAGACTTCATAGAGACAGGCAGTAGCCAAACTGAGGCAAGGAAGGGCCTCTTTTTTGGAAGAAACAGGACACACGTGGATGGAGAAGACACATACTGGGCTCAAGCAGGAGCTCCCCTCAAGGGCACGTGCCCCACTGCAGAGTGCAGTGCAATGCTGCCGACTATCCCATGTGCGACGGGAATTTTTTTTTTTTTTTTTTTTTTTTTTTTTTTTTTTTTTTTTTTTTTTTTTTTAGATTTGCCCAGGCTGGAGTGCAGTGGCACACTCTTGGCTCACTGCAGCCTCCACCTCTGGGGCTCAAGTGATCCTCTCACTTTAGCCTCCCGAGAAGCTAGGACCACTGACGTGCATCACCATGCCCGGTTAAGTTTTTATTTTTATTTTTTGTAGAGATGGGGTTTCACTATGGTGCCCAGGTTGGTCTTGAACTTCTGGGCTCAAGTGATCCACCTGCCTTGGCCTCCCAAACTGCTGGGATGACAGGTGTGAGCCACAGTGCCCAGCCACAATGCCATTTTTATTTGATGTTGGATAATGATTCTCCCTTATGATGATAGTGAAGCCAGCTGGAAGACACATGCTCTTAAATGTCTTGTGTGTTAAGAAGGAAAGCGTAAGTGACTAGGAGACCAGATCACAGGGACCCCAGCTAATCTGGGGAGTCACGAAGGGGCCCCAGATGGGGAAACCCACAAGCAGAGCCCGGAAGGCATCAGGAGCCTGCCTGCAAAAGCCAGGAAGTGCAGAACCAGTGTGCGTAGAGTGTGAGGGGCACCTGCCTCACTGGGGGACGTGGACGTGGCCACAGCCCCAGCCTGGACTGCCCCTCACATGTCAGCAGGGGTGTCCTTCCCCTGCCCCTGGTGAAGATCTAGCAGACTCCAGGCATTAGAAAATTCTAGAGTCACTTTAAGTCGCAAGCAGTGACTCCTTTGGTGATTTTAAGTGTGCAGCCCCGTATGTCATCCACTAGTTTGGACGGTATGCAAATGAGAACTCTGCCCTGGCTGATCGCCTGTGTGAGATTCTCAGCCCTGACCACAGGAGGATGAGGCTGTGTCCTGCAGACCTCATGGGGAAGCTGCCCTCCCATCCCACACTGGTGCACGGCTTGGTGCAGCAGCTTTCTGTAGGACGTGGAGCTAAGGACATTTCATCCATCAGACTAGGGACTCTTCTGCCCCTGGGCTTCGCCTCCTTCTGCTTCCTGACCTCCTGGGTTACGATGCAGCAGCAGCCTTTGGTTTGGGCTCCTGGGCAAAGAGAGGGTCCCACAGTCTGGTCCCCTGTGCTTCCGGAGGCCATGCGGACACCCTGGCCTCTTCCCTGCTCTGTGTCTCCAAGTGAATAAAGTGCAGTTGCTACTTGAATGTGGCTCATTGTCCTAACGGCCACTTCACGCCTGGCCATCAACCACATGCTGGAGTTACCTACCTCACCAGGGGGGCCCGGTGGAGGACCCTGGAGGCAGAGGTCCTTTTCCTTGGTTCCCCACCATCCTGGCCGTACCCACCACACTTGTCTCATCTCGCAGGGATGAGATTTTCCCACTCTGCCCTCCAGCTGTTTAAAGATCCTTCCCTGTTTTGGTGCTTTTGGGATTTTTAAAAATAAAAACTATCATAGTTGCCTCTTAAGTAGTCTCTCTGCTTCTCATCTGTCTTCCTTCCAAACCCTTTTAGCCTTGCTGGTGGCTTAAGTTTTCTCACATGCAGGTATAATGGCATCTACAGATGGATGCCCATTGAAGGCTGCCCTCGCAGCAGGGATGGTTCTTCCACATCCCCTCCTGTTCCTACAGTGACGGCTGCTCCCAGCCTCTCACACCACACCACACAGCCAGGCTGATGCCAGCTCCACGCCCCCCACACCACCTCTCCTTGGGGCACCCCCACGCCTCTCCTCCTGACATTGCTGGGCTCACACAGACACCTCCTCCTCCACTAATCAATTCCCCCCATGTGTGCTCCTATAACACTTAAAAATATCTTTCCTATGTTACTCATGACACGGTATAATTTGTTCATTCGTTCAATGAATATTTACTGAAGACCTGTTCAAAATGCTTCTTTAGCTGCCTCCCTGAGCATAGCAATTGTATCTTCCTCATTTTAAAATTCCTCGTGGGCTTCATAGATGCTCAGTAAATATTCACTGAAAAGGGATTTGGATTTAAAATCAAAACATACAGATGTGAATCTGCTGCCATGCACTGTCTGGCTGTGGGCAATCATTTACCCTGCTCTTGGAGGCTTGTTTTTCTCATCCATGAGATATTACAACCCCACTTGTTCTTTCACCTTGATGTGGTCACTATGCCAAAAGAGAGGACATGTAGGCCAAGGTGCTTAGAAGATAAAGCAATATGCAATGTAAGATGCTGCTGTGATTGTCAGGGTTGTGACATGCTTCTGGGATCAGTGATCAAGGAGCTGAATTGGCCCTGGTGTCCACTCTATTGCCGGACCGTGGTGTCATCTCCCACTTAAAAACCACTGGTTCTGAGAGGAATTGACCAAATACAGGGCACATAAGCACTGGTCAGAAAGCTCACTCCTCTTGGTAAAATACTGAGGAATTACGGAACGCTTTCTTGTCTCTTCAGTTATGGTACTGATGATAAAATCGTGGCACAGGGATTTAACAGGTCCACACGGTTATGGACTCTGTGCGTGCTAATTTTAAAGATAACAAGATAAAATGTTTACTTAATTCCGTTAAAAATAAAATACAGAAGTGACTTAACTGCTGAATGTTCATAGAGATGAGAAAAATTAAGTGGCCAAGCAAAAGTCATCAACTCTGGTTACCACCAACAGAGGGGGATAGCAGCCTTTGATATGGGGATAGGCTTGAACAGGTGAATTTTAGAACCTAAATAGATTATAAATGGAAGTGCTTACATACATTATTGAAAATGAAACCCATCAAAATATTGAATATCAATCAATGCCCAATATAAAACCGTTAAGAAAATCAACCTTAAACAGAAAACTTTCTTTTCTTGATGCTTCTCTCTTCTCTCTCTCTCTCTGTCCCTCCATTCCTCCCTCCTTCCCTCCCTCTTCAGGGTTCATTAATTTGGCTGATTAAATACTAGGGTGACTGCTTAGGATTTAGAGTAAAGACCAGGCATCCCTGAGAAATCATTATGGATTTCTTGTGGTTTATTTCCTGTCATTGAATTTTGTGCTAACACCTCTGGTATAATCCTGCCAAGTAGCTAATTTTTAACAAATAGACTATATTTTAAAGCAGTTTTAAGTTCAAAGCAAAACTGGGCAGAAGCTACAGAGATGTTCCCTGTACCTGCTGCCTCCACACATGCACCTGCTCCTCTATTATCAAAGTCCCCACAATTGGTGACCTTACAGTGACACATCACTACCACCTGGAGCCCACGGTTCACAGGAGGGCTCACTCTGGTGTTGTGCACTGCATGGGTTTGACAAATGTATAAAATGTATCTCCCATCTAGGGAGGAGCCAAGATGGCCGAATAGGAACAGCTCCAGTCTACAGCTCCCAGCCTGAGCGACGCAGAAGACGGGTGATTTCTGCATTTCCATCTGAGGTACCAGGTTCATCTCACTAGGGAGTGCCAGACAGTGGGTGCAGGTCAGTGGGTGCGCACACCGTGCGCGAGCCGAAGCAGGGCGAGGCATTGCCTCACTTGGGAAGCGCAAGGGGTCAGGGAGTTCCCTTTCCTAATCAAAGAAAGGGGTGACGGACGGCACCTGGAAAATCCGGTCACTCCCACCTGAATACTGCGCTTTTCCGACGGGCTTAAAAAACGGCGCACCACGAGATTATATCCCACACCTGGCTCGGAGGGTCCTACCCCACGGAGTCTCGCTGATTGCTAGCACAGCAGTCTGAGATCAAACTGCAAGGCGGCAGCGAGCCTGGGGGAGGGGCGCCCACCATTGGCCAGGCTTGCTTAGGTAAACAAAGCAGCCGGGAAGCTCGAACTGGGTGGAGCCCACCACAGCTCAAGGAGGCCTGCGTGCCTCTGTAGGCTCCACCTCTGGGGGCAGGGCACAGACAAACAAAAAGACAGCAGTAACCTCTGCAGACTTAAATGTCCCTGTCTGACAGCTTTGAAGAGAGCAGGGGTTCTCCCAGTATGCAGCTGGAGATCTGAGAACGGGCAGACTGCCTCCTCAAGTGGGTCCCTGACCCCTGACCCCTGAGCAGCCTAACTGGGAGGCACCCTCCAGCAGGGGCACACTGACACCTCACACTACAGGGTACTCCAACAGACCTGCAGCTGAGGGTCCTGTCTGTTAGAAGGAAAACTAACAAACAGAAAGGACATCCACACCAAAAACCCATCTGTACATCACCATCATCAAAGACCAAAAGTAGATAAAACCACAAAGATGGGGAAAAAACAGAACAGAAAAACTGGAAACTCTAAAAATCAGAGCGCCTCTCCTCCTCCAAAGGAACACAGCTCCTCACCAGCAACGGAACAAAGCTGGACGGAGAATGACTTTGACTAGCTGAGAGAAGAAGGCTTCAGACGATCAAATTACTCTGAGCTACGGGAGGACATTCAAACCAAAGGCAAAGAAGTTGAAAACTTTGAAAAAAATTTAGAAGAATTTGTAACTAGAATAACCAATACAGAGAAGTGCTTAAAGGAGCTGATAGAGCTGAAAACCAAGGCTCGAGAACTACGTGAAGAATGCAGAAGCCTCAGGAGCCGATGCGATCAACTGGAAGAAAGGGTATCAGCAATGGAAGATGAAATGAATGAAATGAAGCGAGAAGGAAAGTTTAGAGAAAAAAGAATAAAAAGAAATGAGCAAAGCCTCCAAGAAATATGGGACTATGTGAAAAGACCAAATCTACATCTGATTGGTGTACCTGAAAGTGATGGGGAGAATGGAACCAAGTTGGAAAACACTCTGCAGGATATTATCCAGGAGAATTTCCCCAATCTAGCAAGGCAGGCCAACGTTCAGATTCGGGAAATACAGAGAATGCCACAAAGATACTCCTCAAGAAGAGCAACTCCAAGACACATAATTGTCAGATTCACCAAAGTTGAAATGAAGGAAAAAATGTTAAGGGCAGCCAGAGAGAAGGGTCGGGTTACCCTCAAAGGGAAGCCCATCAGACTAACAGCTGATCTCTCGGCAGAAACCCTACAAGCCAGAAGAGAGTGGGGACCAATATTCAACATTCTTAAAAGAATTTTCAACCCAGAATTTCATATCCAGCCAAACTAAGCTTCATAAGTGAAGGAGAAATAAAATACTTTACAGACAAGCAAATGCTGAGAGATTTTGTCACCACCAGGCCTGCCCTAAAAGAGCTCCTGGAGGAAGCACTAAACATGGAAAGGAACAACCGGTACCAGCCACTGCAAAATCATGCCAAAATGTAAAGACCATTGAGACTAGGAAGAAACTGCATCAACTAATGAGCAAAATAACCAGCTAACATCATAATGACAGGATCAAATTCACACATAACACTATTAACTTTAAATGTAAATGGACTAAATGCTCCAATTAAAAGACACAGACTGGCAAATTGGATAAAGAGTCAAGACCCATCAGTGTGCTGTATTCAGGAAACCCATCTCATGTGCAGAGACACACATAGGCTCAAAATAAAGGGATGGAGGAAGATCTACCAAGCAAATGGAAAACAAAAAAAGGCAAGGGTTGCAATCCTAGTCTCTGATAAAACAGCCTTTAAACCAACAAAGATCAAAAGAGACAAAGAAGGCCATTACATAATGGTAAAGGGATCAATTCAACAAGAAGAGCTAACTATCCTAAATATATATGCACCCAATACAGGAGCACCCAGATTCATAAAGCAAGTCCTGAGTGACCTACAAAGAGACTTAGACTCCCACACATTAATAATGGGAGACTTTAACACCCCACTGTCAACATTAGACAGATCAAGGAGACAGAAAGTCAACAAGGATACCCAGGAATTAAACTCAGCTCTGCAACAAGCAGACCTAATAGACATCTACAGAACTCTCCACCCCAAATCAACAGAATATACATTTTTTTTCAGCACCACACCACACCTATTCCAAAATTGACCACATACTTGGAAGTAAAGCTCTCCTCAGCAAATGTAAAAGAACAGACATTATAACAAACTATCTCTCAGACCACAGTGCAATCAAACTAGAACTCAGGATTAAGAATCTCACTCAAAACCGCTCAACTACATGGAAACTGAACAACCTGCTCCTGAATGACTACTGGGTACATAACGAAATGAAGGCAGAAATAAAGATGTTCTTTGAAACCAATGAGAACAAAGACCCAACATACCAGAATCTCTGGGACGCATTCAAAGCAGTGTGTAGAGGGAAATTTATAGCACTAAATGCCCACAAGAGAAAGCAGGAAAGATCCAAAATTGACACCCTAACATCACAATTAAAAGAACTAGAAAAGCAAGAGCAAACACATTCAAAAGCTAGCAGAAGGCAAGAAATAACAAGCTAGCAGAAGGCAAGAAATAACTAAAATCAGAGCAGAACTGAAGGAAAGAGAGACACAAAAAACCCTTCAAAAAATTAATGAATCCAGGAGCTGGTTTTTTGAAAGGATCAACAAAATTGATAGACCACTAGCAAGACTAATAAAGAAAAAAAGAGAGAAGAATCAAATAGACGCAATAAAAAATGATAAAGGGGATATCACCACTGATCCCACAGAAATACAAACTACCATCAGAGAATAATACAAACACCTCTACGCAAATAAACTAGAAAATCTAGAAGAAATGGATAAATTCCTCGACACATACATCCTCCCAAGACTAAACCAGGAAGAAGTTGAATCTCTGAATAGACCAGTAACAGGATCTGAAATTGGGGCAATAATCAATAGTTTACCAACCAAAAAGAGTCCAGGACCAGATGGATTCACAGCCGAATTCTACCAGAGGTACAAGGAGGAACTGGTACCATTCCTTCTGAAACTATTCCAATCAATAGAAAAAGAGAGAATCCTCCCTAACTCATTTTAGGAGGCCAGCATCATTCTGATACCAAAGCCTGGCAGAGACACAACCAAAAAAGAGAATTTTAGACCAATATCCTTGATGAACATTGATGCAAAAATCCTCAATAAAATACTGGCAAACCGAATCCAGCAGCACATCAAAAAGCTTATCCACCATGATCAAGTGGGCTTCATCCCTGGGATGCAAGGCTGGTTCAACATACGAAAATCAATAAATGTAATCCAGCATATAAACAGAGCCAAAGACAAACACCACATGATTATCTCAATAGATGCAGAAAAGGCCTTTGACAAAATTCAACAACCCTTCATGCTAAAAACTCTCAATAAATTAGGTATTGATGGGACATATTTCAAAATAATAAGAGCTATCTATGACAAACCCACAGCCAATATCCTACTGAATGGGCAAAAACTGGAAGCATTCCCTTTGAAAACTGGCACAAGACAGTGAGAGGGATGCCCTATCTCACCACTCCTATTCAACATAGTGTTGGAAGTTCTGGCCAGTGCAATTAGGCAGGAGAAGGAAATAAAGGGTATTCAATTAGGAAAAGAGGAAGTCAAATTGTCCCTGTTTGCAGATGACATGATTGTATATCTAGAAAACCCCATTGTCTCAGCCCAAAATCTCCTTAAGCTGATAAGCAACTTCAGCAAAGTCTCAGGATACAAAATCAATGTACAAAAATCACAAGCATTCCTATACACCAACAACAGACAAACAGAGAGCCAAATCATGAGTGAACTCCCATTCACAATTGCTTCAAAGACAATAAAATACCTAGGAATCCAACTTACAAGGGATGTGAAGGACCTCTTCAAGGAGAACTACAAACCACTGCTCAAGGAAATGAAAGAGGATACAAACAAATGGAAGAACATTCCATGCTCATGGGTAGGAAGAATCAATATCGTGAAAATGGCCATACTGCCCAAGGTAATTTGCAGATTCAATGCCATCCCCATCAAGCTACCAATGCCTGTCTTCACAGAATTGGAAAAAACTACTTTAAAGTTCATATGGAACCAAAAAAGAGCCCGCATCGCTAAGTCAATCCTAAGCCAAAAGAACAAAGCTGGAGGCATCACACTACCTGACTTCAAACTATACTACAAAGCTACAGTAACCAAAACAGCATGGTACTGGTACCAAAACAGCATGGTACTGGTACCAAAACAGAGATATAGATCAATGGAACAGAACAGAGCCGTCAGAAATAACGCCGCATATCTACAACTATCTGATCTTTGACAAACCTGACAAAAACAGGCAATGGGGAAAGGATTCCCTATTTAATAAATGGTGCTGGGAAAACTAGCTAGCCATATGTAGAAAGCTGAAACTGGATCCCTTCCTTACACCTTATACAAAAATCAATTCAAGATGGATTAAAGACTTAAACGTTAGACCTAAAACCATAAAAACCCTAGAAGAAAACCTAGGCATTACCATTCAGGACATAGGCATGGGCAAGGACTTCATGTCTAAAACACCAAAAGCAATGGCAACAAAAGACAAAATTGACAAATGGGATCTAATTAAACTAAAGAGCTTCTGCACAGCAAAAGAAACTACCATCAGAGTGAACAGGCAACCTACAAAATGGGAGAAAATTTTCGCAACCTACGCATCTGACAAAGGGCTAATATCCAGAATCTACAATGAACTCAAACAAATTTACAAGAAAAAAACAACCCCATTCAAAAAGTGGGCGAAGGATATGAACAAACACTTCTCAAAAGAAGACATTTATGCAGCCAAAAAACACATGAAAAAATGCTCACCATCACTGGCTATCAGAGAAATGCAAATCAAAGCCACAATGAGATACCATCTCACACCAGTTAGAATGGCAATCATTAAAAAGTCAGGAAACAACAGGTGCTGGAGAGGATGTGGAGAAATAGGAACACTTTTACACTGTTGGTGGGACTGTAAACTAGTTCAACCATTGTGGAAGTCAGTGTGGTCATTCCTCAGGGATCTAGAACTAGAAATACCATTTGACCCAGCCATCCCATTACTGGGTATATACCCAAAGGACTATAAATCATGCTGCTATAAAGACACCTGCACACGTATGTTTATTGTGGCATTATTCACAATAGCAAAGACTTGGAACCAACCCAAATGTCCAATAATGATAGACTGGATTAAGAAAATGTGGCACATATATACCATGGAATACTATGCAGCCATGAAAAATGACGAGTTCATGTCCTTTGTAGGGACATGGATGAAATTGGAAATCATCATTCTCAGTAAACTATCGCAAGAACAAAAAACCAAACACCGCATATTCTCACTCATAGGTGGGAATTGAACAATGAGATCACATGGACACAGGAAGGGGAACATCACACTCTGGGGACTGTCGTGGGGTGGGGGGAGGGGGGAGGGATAGCATTGGGAGATATACCTAATGCTAGATGACAAGTTAGTGGGTGCAGCACACCAGCATGGCACATGTATACATATGTAACTAACCTGCACAATGTGCACATGTACCCTAAAACTTAAAGTATAATAAAAAAAATAAATTAAAAAAAAAAAGTATCTCCCACTGTAGTACACACAGAGCAGTTTCCCTGCCCTAAAATCCCCTGTGCTCCACCTACTCAGCCCTCCTTCCTCCAGCTCCTGGTAGCCCCTGATCATTCCACTGTCTCCATGGTCTTGCCTTTTCCAGAATGTCCTGTAGATGGAATCATACAACATGTATGCTTTCTGGATGGACTTATTTCACTCAGCAATATGCATTTATGTTTCCTCCCTGTCTTCCTTCTTTGTAATGCTGACTCATATTCCATTTTCTGGATGGATGAGAGTTTGTGTATCCACTGGCTTACTGAAGGGCGTTTTCGTTGCTTTCATGTTTTGGCAACTATGATAAAGCTACTATAAACATCCATGTGCCTTTTTTCTGTGTGGACACAAATTTTCAATTCATCTGGGTAAAGACCAAGGAGTGTGATTGCTGAACCATATGGTCAGAGTATGTTTAGTTTCATAAGAAAATGCCACGCTGTCTTCCACAGTGGGTGCACCATTTTGCACTCCCACCAGCAGCGACTGAATTTCCTGTTGCTCCACACCCTCACTGGCATTTGGTGGTGTCAGTGTTCTGGGTTTTGGTACTGGTATCTTAGCATTGCTTTAATTTGCATTTCCAGGTAGCTAATTTTCCATCATATAATTTATTTTTGTGGGTGATTAGCAGGTCAGGGAGCTCTTTAACACAGACTACCTCTATTTCTATTTTTTTTAGAAAGGACAGGATAAATAGAGCATGGAATGCACATTTTTCTCTAGCACTTTATTTTCTCAGCTGGAAAAGTGTTGGAGAAGTGGTTTTCTAGGATAAACAGATGCAGTTTCTTATAAAGTTGATTTTGGCAATGATCAAATTCCATCAGATTCCTAAGATTTCCTACAGGGGAAAAGTCCCCAAAAAGGCAATGATTTTTTTATAAAATTCAGTTCTTTAACTGATGGATATTTAGACTAACCGAAGTCCATGCCTCTGACAGCAAACCACACAGACATTTTTGTGTGTTGGGTTGTAGGAATTTGCACTTGAAGGAATGATATTTGGGACATGTCTGAGGTTGCCTCTAGGGGGTTCAAGACTCCATACCCAGAGGGTGACTGATAAACATTGCCTGTCATGTTGGGTATTGAGCACCAAACTTCATCCAGAAAGAAATGTGCCATTGCTGGACAGTGTAAGATTGCCTCTCAGCGGATCCTGACTCTTTGGTCTGAATCTCACCCCATGCCTATAGACCAAAATCCTCCATGCCGACTGTGGCCTTGTCATTGTGGAAAGTGCCTTTTCAGCCGGGCATGCACTGGCAGCGCTCCCTGGGATACACGAGGCCTGTCTAGTGGGCCAGGGCTGGCTCCTAGGTTGGGGATTCTGCAAGACCTGTGAGTGGTCCTGGGAAGTCCGGTGGCTACCACTGGGATGTTTGTTTCTGGCTTAGGTTTAATATTTGAAAAGTTTTGTGAAATGTGCCAGGACGGATTATTATCATTCCAACAACAGAAATTTCAGCATAATTACATGTTAACATTTCCCCTAAGCACAAGCCTCCCTGGTTCAGGGCCTGGCAAGGCAGGATGAGCCACTAGGCTCTGGTCTTCAGATCCTAGAATCCAGGCTGGTGGGGCTGGAGAAGTCAGCCCTGGATTTTGATGGGAGGGAGGGGCTCTCTGGGGTGTGGCCCATCTCCCTCATGAAGCACTGCAACCTCTCCACTTCCCATTTGCTGCTCTCCCGGCCCCTATTTTAATTCAGGACATTACTGAGATTCCCTTCAGTTCCCAGCCTCTGCAGCTGTGTGGACTGCCACCTGCGGGCACACCTGGGGCCGCATCATTCCACCTGGAATCTCCGTCTTCAGCGTCTTCCATCCCTGAGATTCCAGTTTCATTTCATCCTTTGTTTCCATGCTCTCTGGGTCTTCATGTGTTTCCTTTAACTTCTATCCTTCATTCTCCAATTTCATCTGCTTCTCAGTGCTTGATTTCACCAAAGTCTCTATGATTTCCTGCTGCTTTGTTTATTAAGTCACTCATCAGATGTTGAATGGGGCCTATTTTGGACCGAGCACTGTGCCAGGTGCTGCTGTCACACTGAGTGAGCAGTCTGAAGGTGTTTGCATTTACGCAGAGGTACAACTTCTGACTTCCACCATGCCTGGCACTGAGAGACACTCCCAGATGTTAAAATATTCACCAGTCCTGGAGAAGCAGCTGGCACTGAGGCTCAGCACTCCTGCTAACCTACGAAGATGTTGGAATCAATGAGAAAAACTTCATTGACTCTGAATAACATTCCTTCATTGACTCTGAATAACATTCCTTCATTGACTCTGAATAACATTCCTTGGATGAAAGAAAAACAGAGGAAGAAGAGATAAGAATCCATCTAAACCTACTTTCTAAGCCCTGGAGGCCCCAGAAGTGAAAGTCCTCAAACACAAATTATTTTACTAATTTACTGAGCAGACATTTCTGGAGAGCCCACTCGGTGCTGGGCACTGTTGCAGGCATGGGGGTAGTGATGGGGTGACAGTGGAGGCTGCTGCGCTCCAGTCGGGACTAGGTCCTCACGGTACCTCTGGAGGGGATCTCTGTGGTTGGGACGGGGATAAGTGGAGAGGGGAGGAGGCTCTCCAGGCCCCTGGCGCCTCAATCTCCTGTCCCGTTTCACTCTGACTCTCGTTTCCCCAAGGAAGAGGCAGGGAAAGAGGAGACAGGATTGTAAAGACAAGGAGTAGTTTTCAGTAACTTGGATTAAAAATAAGTTGAGGTTAAAGGTTGAACTTAGTGACAATATTTTGACCTACAAGAATGCAAATTACGTATATTTCAACTTAATAGCTAAAATGTGTGTTTTGGAGTAAATGTGGATTTCGATTATTCACATGATGTTGCCACTGGTCTGCCACAATCTAGATCTGGCTATAGGCAAATGAAGACTGAGACAGCCTCAGTAGCTCCAGAGCTGGGCAGCATGGAGCCGTGAAGACCAATGCTCATGGGGGTCACTCAGGAGACCTGACTATAGATCCAAGTGTTGCCTTTAAACAGTTGTGTGATCTCAAGCAAACCTCATTTCTCCTTCCATGGGGAATGGTGGGCACACCAGCTCCATGCTGGTGCCGGTCCTGTCCCCTGCCACACATGACTGAGTGCCCACACCAGGCACTTGTGGTGCTGCTGATGGCATTACTTTTGTTTCTGGTGTCAGTTTTGTTTAGGCTTTTGGGGAGGAAAAAGCCTAACAAAAGGCTTTCCAGGAGCAGGGAATGGCTGGGGCCCATGTGAAGCGTCTCCTGGTTTGGTAACAGGTGCGATCCTTCAGATGCTCCCCAAACATCTCTAATAAATGCTTAGTGGGTTCTTCCGGGAAATGAAAAAAAAAGACACCTGACGTTGTTGTTTAATATCTGAGTACACCTGCATCTTCCATGTTCAGATACTCTGAACTCAGAGGATAGGTGAAGACCTGGCCAAGGCGCCTAGAGTGTCCCCCTGCCTGCTCCATAGAGACCCCACCACACAGATGAAGACCCTGAGTGAGGAGAAAGCCTGCAAAGCTCCTCAACCCTCCCCTCAGCTCTGTCAGCCCTGGGTTCCAGCAAAGACCTTGCTTCTTCTGTCTCCCACTGGGACCCCTGTCACTGCTACCTGGATGCTTGTTCCTCAAGCTGGCACCCGAGCTACCATCTCCGCCCTATGATGATGGAAGCTTAGTTAAATGAAGCTCTTTCTGGAGCCAATGGGCTGGATCTTAAGCCTCCCGGAGAATGTGAGTGTAATTTAGGAAAGTGGAAGGAATGATTGAGTCTGTGTCCTAATCCCTGAGAGTCTGTACTCACTGAAGTGAGCAGCCTAATCCTCCTGGTACCTGCGGACTCAGGATGGAATCTTTAATTACCAGAGTCTCATTTCTGCTTCACGAGCACTACCGGAGTAGCATCTGTCGCTCAAATAAACTCATGTGAAAATAAAGTATTAAAATCAATAATTCAGCTTGGAGGTGAAATGGAACAGAAAAATAACTTTCTGGCTTGCAGTGTCCTGGATTTGCAGGCGGCAAGTTTCACTGACTCTTGCTTCTCCCTCTCCTTGGAGCATGCGAACCTTGGTGGGTGCTGGCTGGCCTGCACCAGAGATGCAGTGGGGGATGCAGCTTCCACCAGGGTGTGGGGGATGCACTTTCTGGAAGAAAGGGCAACAGCCATACCTTCTTCCAGCAGCTCCTGTGGCCACCTCCAGGTCAGAGTGAGCCCCCGGCAGGCCCCAGGCTGGCTCTGAGGCTGATGCAGCAGGTTCAGTTATTCTGCTGTGGCCTGAATGTGAGTTTCTCTTCACTTCATCACATTTTGGCTTCAACACTGAACAGATTTCAAAGACCACCTGAAGTTCCCTGTCTCCAGGACGTCTCTCCTGATTTCTCATTTCTGGAGTGATTGTGAAGAGAGCCAAGTTTACCAGTTGTTTATAATTTCACTCCAGGTGCGGTGATAAGCATGCACATCTCCCTTTGGCTGTCACAGTAACCCTTTGAGGTAGGCGCTGCCACGTTTCCCATTTAGAGGGGAGGAAAAAGACGCAGGGAGGTGAGGCACCTGCCCAACCCGCATGGGCAGGTGGGAACCAGGGTCCAAACCTGGCCTTCCTTTCCTGCCTATCTTTCCTCTGCGGAGGTGTCACTGCCATGCTGCACACAGCTGCCATGCAGTGCTCTGTTCCAGATGCCTGTGCCTGTGACCCCTCTGCCCATGAGGCTGGGCACAGCCACTGCTGCACTGAGCTTTTGTGTCTTCCATTTTGTGTGTTTCGCCATCTTTTTATAGATGGTGGGGGATGGAGTGGACACAAGAGGGCGGCAGGAGAGGGGTGGGAAGATGTGATCTTGGGGTTTTCTCACCATTTCACCTGACCAGAGGCCAGAACGTCATTTGGAATTCTTCGGCCTTTACATCCAATGATACAGTTGGGGCCGTTCATCCATTCCTCAACAAGCATCTGCTGAAGGCCTGGTGAGAGCCAGGAACCAGCCGTGGAGTGGGGTGGGAGTGCCCAGGTGAGTCCAGGGTCTCAGGGTCTTATCTGTGTGGGGGAGGGCCCATTGGGGGACAGCTTTGGGGAGAAGGGTGAAGGGGGATGGGCCCTGAGTGCCTCTGAAGTGACTCAGAGCTGTGGCCTGAACTTCTGAAAGATGCCCCTTCCACCTGTCCCCCATCGCCACTCCTTGGGCCTTCCACAGCCAGGGGTGTCCTGCTGCCTGCCAGGGGGTCCCCACAGTGGATGACAGATGGCAGAATGTTCATGAGGCCTCACTGAGTGCCAGGCACTGGGAACTAAGTGGTGGAACTGGGACTGCCCATTCCAAAATGTGTCTCTGCCATTCACGAGCGACTGTCCCTTTCAAGTGTGGGCCAATTGTAGTGACAAGAGTCCCTGCTCACAGAAAGCACCAATGCTTCCACAGCAGAGCCAGCCACTGTGAGGCACCACCTCCTGGGATAACAGGGGAAACACAACTAAAACAGGGCACAGGGTTACCTCTGCCCAGCCAAGATGGTTTCCTGCCCTTGGTTAGAGGGAGGGTGGGAGAACGACAGTGGCCCCACACACCACAGAGATGACACCTGCACACCCATCCGAGTTAATCGAGGGGCCTTGCTTGCACAGTGCAAACTTCCATTGTGCAGAGGTTTCACAGAAACATGCTTGCATCAACCTTCCTTCTGAGGTTGTATGGACTCCCAAATTCCTGTGGCTGTGGGTCCTGCCTCCCAGCGTCCTCCTGCAGCCAGCTGGCAATGCCAAACACCCACACCATGTCTTTTGCTAACTAGTAATATTTCTGAAACTCGCTATGTCTGAAAACCAGTCACTTGGAACATTCTGCAGGGCAATCTCCAGCCTCCACTCTTGAGGAAGGAGAGGCAGTTGTGGAAGCCACACAGCCCGTGCCACAGCTCAGGAGCCCTGTGGACCTGAGGCTCGGAGACATCGGCCCTGGCCTTAGGACCTACTCACTTAGGAATCTCACATTCTGGATTCTTATTTTGAACTCTGTCTTCCCATTGCTCTAGGAACCATCATAATCATTTTGAAAACCACCAAGAGGAGAGCTGCCAACCATCAACACCTGCTCCCCAGCAGAGCTGAGGTTTCTCTGCAGCCGCCTCCCTTTCAGTAAGGACATCTCCCCTCGCAGGTCACCAGCCCTGCCCACAGCTGGACTCTACTTGCCCCGTCCTCCTAGGAAGTCCCTTATGAGAAGCAAAGCCAGACAGACTATAGCTGGGGGCCCTAAGTCAGCAGACGGGCCCTGCCCTCCCTGGTCTGCCCCTGCAGCCAGTCCTTCCTCCTCCTCCTCCTCCTCCTCCTGGTCCACCTCTTCCTTCCCACATCGGCCCTTCCACGGCCAGTGCCCCTCCATCCTCCCCACTGCCCGGCCTCCAGGGAGACCTCTTCCCACACTTGCCCTGGCCTTCCGGCCGCTTCTGACCCACGTGACAGACCTGAGCTTAGGGTTTCGCAGGAGGGTCTCAAATACGGCATGCGAAGGTGCAGAGCTGAGTCTGAGGTGCCCAAGATGTGATGATAGTCTGCCAACCACCTGACGGGAGAGGGGCCCCTGAGAGCATCTCTGTTAGACACGACCCAAACAGAAGCAACAAAAGTGCTCCCGGATGTCTGAAAGCTTCAGCGGCTCTCCAGGAGGAACATGGCCTCGGATGCCTGCACCTGGGCTGCTCTGAACACTGTGGGGTTCAGAGTGAACTCAAGGCCCTGTCTGGCCTTAGATATTTCACTGTTGGTGCAAAATTCCCCAGAATTTATTTTATTATCCTAATGGGAACAGGGAAGTTCACGCAGAGGGTGTCAGCCGCACTCTCCACCCCTTCCTGATCATCACCCTTCTCACGGAGAGAAGCCGCCCCGAGGTTCCAACATGACGAAGTAGCGTACAGTTAAGGGGTCCTGGGCAGGGAGCCCTGAGTTCCTCTCCCCACCGAGTCTCTCTGGGAGTTTGGGAAAGTGGTCAGGAGGGGAGGCCAGGGATGATTTGAGTTGGTGCAGACTCTTCTTCCCCTCAGCGGGGTGGGGGCTTGCAGGGAGAGATCAGGAGGCAGCTCCGGAAGAGCCGAGCCAGGCACCAGGTGCTGCAGGTGACAGGGTGAGGGTCTGCAGGGGCTCCTGGGCCTCTGCATCAGCCCCAGCCAGCGCACATGGCTTCCAAGGTTTCCGCCTTCATTGATTGCTGCTGGGGCACCCAGCACGGCTGAGTGAGCGCAAAGCGTCCTGAGCGTGGCGTTTGGCATGGCTGATGTTTCCAAGCCTCCCAGCAAGCCATACATCATGAAATATTGATATGGTTCCACTAGACTGCTGCACCTGACATTTGATTTATAGCTTTAGGTGTTCTTTTTTAATTCTAAACAGTCAATGAGGGATCAAAGGAAATGTCATATTTGTAGGGCTCAAGCTCAGAGGGGCTCCTCGGAAGCCAGGAAGGGAGGTGCCGTGGTTGCTCCCACAATGGGCCCTACCCTGGCCTCCCAGGGAGGGGCTTTGAGGGGCCCCTATGCAGGTGAAGACGCCCCTTCCCTATGCCCCAGCATCTCAAATATTTACCACGTTAAATATCAGCCTCCAGAATATTGCCTTCATTTAAGCTTTTCACGTTCCAATGATTTTTTATTATTTCCATCGACCAAAATAAATGAAGAAAATGTTTTAGACTACACTTGAAAGCATGTAAAAATCAATAACTGGATTTTAAAAGATTTAAAATGTCTTGAATACATTCATTTTCAAACATTTTCCTCTGATCTTTAAATAGCTTTTCTTGGAGCATAACAGTTTTTTGAAAAGTCAAATATGGAGCATTAAGGGTATAATTACCATTTTAATTATAACTCAATCATCCTATCTGCTTTGCATAGAAATTAAGGCTTTTATGTCAGGATTTTGGGCACTCACAAATGTTCAGGAGCAATTAATGTTAAAAGTTTAATTTTTTTAAAGACTGAGTGTGAACTTTGCAGTTCTTAATTTCCTTCTTGCTCAGATGGGGCAGCAGAGATGCTCCCACTTGCCGTTTAATTTTTGAAGCGAGTTCATTTCCCCTTCCGAGTCAGCTCCCACATCCCTGTGACAGGCGGCGTCACACAGCAGGGAAGGGAGTGGATGGTGCCAGGCTGCTGGGCTTGGGCCCTGCTCTGCCGTGGTGATGGCGGCTTCCCTGAGTCCAGGCTCGCCTCACCCAGCTTCCTCACCCATAACGTGGCCTTGTCGCAGCCCTTGCCTTGTGGGGTTGCTGCAGGACTCCTGTGAGTGGCAACGTGCAAGGTGCTGATGGCAGTGTCGGCCACGGTGCATGCCCTGTGCTGGCCTCATTATTTTCCAGAGTCCCCTTTTTGGTTTGATCTAAAATAATCCCAGTCATTCTGGGAGTCATTGGTTTTCCTCCTACCCGGAATAGGATTGTTTAAAAAATGGTACAACCGTAAATCTTATGTATTCAGAGCAGTACTTATTAGATCACAAAACAGCACAAAGCCCTGAGAATCTCGCAGAAGCAGGGCCCTCTATTGCTGTGCCCTCCCCACACCCCATGTGCACTGGCCTGGCTATAAAGTGACAAGGCTGCTTTCAAAGTCTTTATTTTGCATTAATGAAAATGCCATTTGGCTAAAACTTAACTAGATTTTCATTGAATTTTGCCCTGAGAAGGAAATACTAAAATGATAGATTTTCCCATTGTTTTTCCGCGAATGAGTAATGTGCTTAGCTCCTCACTCCGGAGGCATAAGGTTGCAGTTTTGTGTGCGTGTGTCTGTGCATGCTTGTATGCAAAACGCAGCCTGGACATTTTTCTCCCAGTTAAAGCCCCGGTCTAAGATCTGGTCCATTTCCTCTTGAGCTGCCACTGCTCAGGCTGGAAGGAAAAATCATTTTTATGGGCACTGCCGTGGCAAAATAAAATAATTCCATTTTTAGAAAGGCTGTGGCGTAGGCCCCTCCCTTCCTGTATGTTTTTGCTGACAGCCTTGCTCTGCTTCACTTTTAGCCGATTTTTATGTTTTTTAGTTCCCTCACTTGTGCTTAAAGTCTTACTTATATTAGAAAAAAATGAATGGAGGCAGGCAGACATAATTTAAAAATAATTATTATGCCGTATCTTCTATACCTTGTACCAGATAATGTTCCCTGAGACTTAATCACTGAATATCACTTACATAATCAGGCATAATCCCAAGTGTAATTACAAAACATCCCATAATCTCCACGAGCCTGACAGGCATAGTCGATTGTCTTCGTAAGTTGTTGTACGGATTTTTCTAGAACACTGAGGGTTTCACATAATTTTTTAATTTTTGGTGAAGGGAAATTATTAAACATTTAAGTGAACATGATTTAGTTTTGATGGCTCTGGGAGAGTCTTATATAAACAAGATCACTTCTGGGAAGACATCCCTTTCTTAGGCGCTATCTTCTGGTTTGGGTTTGGTGCAGGAGTTGGCAATGTTTTTGGGGTAAGTCCAATTCCCTGATGTTGCTGGTGCATCCATCTGCCTCTCTCACTCCTTGGGCAGTACTGAGGGCTCCGTGCCCCTGGGTCCCCCAAAAGCCCATCAGCAGGGGGCACAGGCAGGGGTAGGCCTGGGGGGGGGTGGGTCAGTTTGTGTGGCTCTGGTCTCTGTGGGCCGGCCACGCCCCTCCATTGGGGGCCCAGCTTGTAGGGGTGGCTGGACACATGGCTGCCTCTCTGCACCCCAGCCTTCCCGTCTTGAGCTTGGTACCCATCCCGTCACTTCCCTAAAGCCTGCCTACTCCCTACCAGTGCCCCTTTACTCGACCCTCCCTCAATCCCCGGTGTGAGTGCCAGGTAACTGCTGGACCCTGATCTATAAAAACACTAACATTAGGAGAAGGCCCTGTCTCCTCTGACTGGGTGTGAAGTGTTGGCCACTCATAAACCTGCATTCTGCATAGCTGGGCAATTTAAGATGGTGAAGAATATACTATACTTTTGTTAGACACTGTAAAATCTATGTCAGTTTCTGCTACTTATTATTAGTTTCACAGTAACACAATCAATCAAATAAAACAGCAAAAAATCCACCCACAGAGAAGCGTGTAGTCACAGGTGACGGATCCTGTAACAGGAACGTGGTAAAGCCCATCATGGTATGATTTGGTACCATTTGTTTATTTTTGCAACCTCTTACAGCCCATAAGATACTAGAAGCTCCCTTTAAATTCAAACACTGACAGCTCCCTGCAGAATTTGAGAACCATGCAGGAGTGAGAGAGATCATGGGCTGGGCCGGAGGGATGTGGGAAAGCCAGACCATTTGCTAGAAACAAGCAGTACCATTTGCACTCCTGGTGTGGGGAGTGGTTTGGATTCATTTACTTATTATTCATCCATGCCTTTGTGGATTTCTCAGTGCACACATCATCGCAGAGTGCTGGGGTTCAGATTCCACCTGATCTCTCTGGGCACTGCTGTCCTCGTGTACAAGTGGGGCAACAATACTTGCTCATTCAACTCAGCATTGATACAAAGGCTGCTCGAGACTGTGTTTGGGAATGCCTTCTGTGACCTCTAAAGTGTTGTCAAAGTATAATTTGTCCCTGTCAGAAGGAATATCGGGGAGTGTGGGAATCTCTCGTTACTGTGTTGGCCACAGTTGGAATAATCTAGTTCCCACATCTCCACTGGAGAAAGCATCTCTCAGATCACACCCCACAAATTCCCGTGGTGGGTAAAGGGTCTGCCAGCCTCCAGACAGGCATCTGTTCCAGCAGAAAATGACCCAGGGTAGATGGACCGTGCTCCAAAGGCTTATGAATGTGGCCAGCGGCCTTAATTTCTGTCGTCTGCTTATAACTCCATCCAAAATCCTGGCTGGAGATGATAAAAAAAGATTCAAGGAGCTCAGAGTAAGTGGGACATGTGACCTGCTCAGATGCTGACCCATGCCACATTGTGACAGTGACGAAAACAGAGTGAAGAATAAGGCCAGATCTATAGGATGGGGCTGGTGTCTTAGGAACAGACTTCCTTACACACAGAGATACAGCATATAGTATAAGAGCAGGGACACCCCAAAACAATGAGGAAGTAAGTTCAGTAAAGGTTTCTAGGCCGACTGTCACAAGAAAGCATGATCTTGCCTGTGGATCATACCTCAAGATGTATTATGGGTAGGTAGAATAAAACAGAAAAATAGCACAGAAGAGCAAACATGAATGTTTACCAAACTTCCTGGGGGTGGGTGGAGAAGATCTTTCAAAGCATAAAAGCAGAAGGATAAGTCATACAGCTGACAGATAGATCACCTGGAAATTAAAATTTTCTCTGTATCAAAAACCCTCCATCATAATCAAAATAAAAAGCAAAATAAAAGACATATTCAGATAATAGCTATGGATTAGCAAGATCTCAAACAAAATGATTATAATCACATCTTGGTTGATAAGAACTCATTGCACAAATTCCTCTTATATCAGAACTTGAAAAGAGTCTATTCCATGACGAATGGATAGCTGGCATTTTTCCTTCTACAGAGTGTTGGGGACTATGCAATGCATGTTTCCCTCTTTGTCTTGAATGCCAAGGCATTCTGTGCCCTGTCCGAGTACCTACCTTAGCTTGTACTTACTTCCTGGAACATGACTTCTGGGAATTAGACAGTATAAATGTAATGATGTAGCTGAATGCCTGGCTAGTTAGAGAGTCGCCATGTTGTCTTTTCCTTATGAAT
Source organism: Homo sapiens (assembly GCF_000001405.40). Taxonomy (NCBI): domain Eukaryota; kingdom Metazoa; phylum Chordata; class Mammalia; order Primates; family Hominidae; genus Homo; species Homo sapiens. The sequence continues at coordinate 1,319,862 of NC_000010.11, forward strand.
ATAAATATTTCCTTTGTATGGATTCCCAGCAGTGGGACTACTGGACCAATATGTGTAAACGTTTCTAAAGTTTTTGGTGTGTATTGCCAAATTGTTTTGTGCAAGGTGCAGCCCACCAGCAGTGTGTGCACATAACACTATCCTCACCCTCTACAGCATTGGGGCTATGCTCATGTAGACCAGGCCTCAGCTCACCTCTTACTACTCCCTTCCCATTCCTCATTCCAGCATCTTCACATCTTGCCTCCATCCTCAGACTCACAGTGGCCTCCAGCCGCCCAACCACTCCCATTCAAATGGAAAGCATGCATTGAAGTTGAGTCCCTCCCATGAGGCTGGTAGGATGCTTCTTGCCATTCTGGTGTCCCATGATGTGCTATGGAGAATGGAGTGAGTCTCAATAAACATCATTGTCTTTAACATAGCAAAGTAGGGCTCCCCAAAAGTATGTGAATTTTAAAAGGGTGAAGGCAGTGATTTGTCCAACTAGATCATCCAGATTTAGGGTCTGGTATCTAGCATCTTTCAAATCACACCATGTAGATGTCACTTTGATTTTAGGGGTGTTGGGCTTACTGAGGAGGCCAGTATCTGAGCTCAGGCAAGACCTCAATTTCACGTCTTAGGGTATCTCCTTGGTGAAGGCAAAGTGCCCCCTCTCAGGCTAAGAAAAACCATTGGACCATGGTGTATCAGATAGTTCTTAGTCATAATATATACAAATTTAACAACTATCTGCAAAGTGAGAATTTTTCCACAATGAATTATTTGGTAGCTTTGGTGTTGATTTTATAGCTGTCCTTCTGCCAGAGAACAGCGATGCTGAGATTTGCTGTCAGTCTGTTGGTCCTATTTTTCTATAATGAGAGATGATGTGGTGAGCTACAAAATAAGAGACAGATGATAAAATAATTCCTTAAGAAAAAAATATTAGAATACAATGGGCCGGCAGGCAAATGATAAAATGCCTCTTTCCTGTTTTTTAAGCACTGTAATAAAACATTTTGGAGGTGGGGCATTGTGGATGTGCAGTGCCGTATTGTAATTGTAAACAGAAATGAACTGGCCCAGATTCAGAGCCTGTGGCAGCACAGGGTCATTGGGATTCATTGTTCAGTGGGAACATATTTTACTGTGAAATGTTCTGATGACATTAGAATGTAAAGTTCCTACAACCTAAACAACAGGTTTCATTCTGACTTCCATCTGTCATACTGAGGTACCATATGACTCTGTAGTTAAAAACCAGTATAAATAATTTGGAACCCAAATCCATCCCATTGGCTCTTTATAGTTCTCCCCATATGATGGTGTCATACAGATCTCTCCTCCTACACACTTTGCAGAAGCACTGTCCAAATCTTGCCTCATGGAAATCACCTCTTCTCTCTTGCAGAGAGCAAGCCCATGATGTTGTCCTCATCCGGAAGATCCCTGCCTATCCTGCCTGAAAACAGCCCATTGAGAGCAAAGGTGACTGCACTGCCTGCCATCCTCAGATACAGAAGTATGCTACTAACTTTTAATTTTAATTTTTTAGAGACAGGGTCTTCCTGTCTCCCAGGCTGGAGTGCAGTGACACGATCCTAGCTCACAGCAGCTTTGAACTCCTGGGCTCAAGTGATCCTCCCGCCTCAGCCTCCTGACTAGCTGGGACTAAAAGTGCTCATCACTGCGCCCTGCTAATATTTTCAAATTTTTTTGTAGAGATGGGGGTCTCATTATGTTGCCCAGGCTGGTCTCAAATTCCCTGCCTTAAACAATCCTCTCATCTCAGCCTCCCAAAGCGCTGGGATTAGAGGTGTGAGCCACCGTGCTACTGATGCTACTATTTTAATATCCTCCTTCTCTTAAACAAATCATCATACTCTGTTCCAGGGAGAATTTCCCAGCTACGAGGGCTTTTGTCTAGGTTGAAAATGGCATGGGTTGGTAAGCCCTGTACTCTAATGTAGAAGGAAGGAGGCTAAGTAGGTTCCATGGACATCATTCCTGCCTGTGGGCATGTGTGTCCCACAGCTGATTGGGAAGGGGAAGAGAGAGGAAGGGAGCATGAATGAGAAGGGGAGGAGAGAGGCTCTGGGGGAGGACTTTGGGTTCTCGGTGAGGGATGAGAGCCACAGAAGACACAGAAATGCTCCCTCTGCATTGTTTCCATCCTGCCTCCTCCTCCCTCCTCTGACCACCCAGCCCTGGACTCAGGAGACACCAGTTGGTACCTGGTGATATTTCTAAATAACTCAGGGCAGAGAAACTGCAGGATTCAACATTCCTGGCTGTGTTTTTAATGAAGCCCTTGAAGCTTGGTGAGAGGTGATGGGAGAGATGGATATAATTTCGGATGGGCACTTTCTGTTGGTAGAAAGGACTCAGCCCATTTGTTAAGAACCTTGTCTTGGGAACTATTTTGTCTTTTTCAAAAAACTCAGTATAGGATGGAAGAAAAAGCCCAGGCTTCAGAGCAAGGTGGACTCTAGTTTAAATTCAAATGCTGCTCTGACCTTCTGTCTCTCTCCTTGTACTTCTTCTAATTCTCCAAACTGAGTATTTGAGTTAGATTTCTTCATGACTTACTACAGAGGTCTTTGGTTTAGGCAATGTGGCAATTAATCTAGGTAGTTTAGGGAGATTTACCAGATTGGAGAATGATGAGAAAAGAAGAGATGATACCTATGAGGCTAATATTGAGGAAGGAGAATACAATATTAACAAAACAGGCAAGGGAATTTAAGCCATTTGGTCATTTGGAGCCATTAAGTGAAGGAAAAATGGAAAATTGACAGATCATAAGAGCCACTGGCACATCACCCACTGTAATACAATATTATCTTCTATGTCCAGAAGAATGGAAAGTCTAGAAAAAAATGTTATACTCGATACACTCTATTCAAGAAGAAAAGGTATGGCATTTATAATTATTTCTACCCAAGTTACTTAAGGAAAAAACATTTGGCATTAAGTGTATAATTTTAAATTATTTCAAAATTCAAGTTAATGTAATTGCTCTCTTTTTCATGATGTACATAAATAAGATGGCATCAGTAGCCCATACTTGGAACAGATTTGATTCAACTTTCTGTACCACATTTGGCACCAGGAGAAAGCTGACACTACCCTGATACACTTACTACAATGGTGTTATTAGAATCAGGAAAACAGTACCCTTCTTTGGTTGGTTAGTGGAAAGTTTTTAAAAAGTATATCAGAATTTCAAAAAGTATTGAAGGTTAATAAAGGAGGAAAGCCCTTTTTGTTTTGTGAAATGAATTAACACAGTAATACATTCAGAACTGCATCTGAATCTGAGGAAGTCTATCTAAATTTTAGTTAATATTGTCATCATCCTCTTTATCATACTTCACAGATTCTATGGGATACTTTGAAATTGTAAAAAAAAAAAAAAAAAACACTGTTAGGATATGTATGACGAAAATTACAAAATGCTGACAAAAAAATCAAAGAAGACCTAAATTAATAGAGAGACATGCCGTATTCACAGATTGGAAGACTGAAATAGAAGAAATGTCAATTATTCCAAAATTGACCTATAGTGTGGTGCAATTCTTAACAAAATACCAGCAAATATTTTGTAGACATAGACAAGCTTATTCTAAAATATGTATATAAATGTTTAAGTCCTAGAATAACTGAAATGCCAACTTTAAGAAAAAGGAGAATAAAGTGGAAGGAATCACTCTACTGAATATTAAGGTTTACTCTATAGCTATAGTAATTGATCATGTGATGTTGGTGGATGGACGGATGCATGGGTCCATAGAGCAGAATAGAGAACCCAGTAAAGGTACAAAGGTAATTCAGTGGAGGAAACACAGCCTTAAAAAAAAAAGTAAACTGTAAATCCCACATCTCCATGTCTTATACAAAATCTTACACAAAAGTAACTCAAAGTAGACCACAGACGTAAACTATAAAACTTTTAGGAAAAAATAAAGGAGAAAATCTTTGGGATCTAGAGCAAGATGAAGATATCTTAGATTCAATACCAAAAGCACCATCCATAAAAGGAAAAATGGAAGAAATGGATTTCATCAAAATGGAAAGCTTTCATTCTGTGAAAGATTGCCTTAAAGGGATGAACAACAAGCCATAAACTGCGAGGAAATATCTGCAACTCACTTGCCTGACAAAGAACTAGTGTCTAGACTACACAAAGAACTCTCAAAACTTATCAGCAAAAACAAACAATTAAATCAGAAATGGGCAAAAGACACAAAGACTTTTCAGAGAAGACGATACATGGATATATGGATAGGCACATGATAAGATGCTAAACTATATTAGTCATTCAGGAAATGCAAATGAAAACCACACGAGGTACCATATGAGTCCACACATCACGGAATGGCTGTTGTGAAAAGCAGTGGCCACAATAAAGGCTGAGAAGGGCCCGGGTGGGTCCCTCATGCCTTGTCTGAGAGGTGGAACAGTGCAGCCACTCTGGAGGGATGTTTATTATTAAACTAAACGTGATTACAATGCAAACCACCAATTAAACTCTTGGGCATTTACCCCAGAGGGCATGGAAATTTATGTTCACACAGAAAATTTGTAGTGATGTTTATAGCAGCTGCGTTCATATGAGCCCCAAACTGGAATCCGCCCAGATGTTCTTTCACAGGTTAATGCTTAGACGAATTGCAATGTGGCTTATTGTGGAATACTACTCAGCAATGAAAAGGAACGAAATATGAATGAATGCAAGACCTGGATGAGTGTGTGAAGAATTATGCTGAGTGAAAAGACATGATTCCAAATACATACTGCATGATTGCATTTATATAATATTTATGAAATATCAACATTATAGAAATGGAGAACAGACCAGTGGCCACCAGATATTAAAGTTATGGGGAGTGGGGTTGGAAGGTGGCTGCATGGTCATCAAGGGGCCCTGTGGGATGGGTGATCTGTGTCCTGACAGTGCAGGTGGGCACACAACCTACACCTGGGATAAAATTACATGGAGCTAAACAAACGCAAGTACAATTAAAACTGGGGAAACGTGAGCGAGCCAGGGGATTGTCAATGCCTGTCTGTCTGTGAGGCGTTGTGCTCCGGCTCTTCAAGGTATAACTACTGAGGGACACTGGGCACAGGTACATGGGCTCTTTCTGTACTATGTCCTAGAACGCTGTGAATCTACAATTGTCAGAACTAAAAGCTTAAACATGCACTTACACTCACACGAAGTTCTGGGCCTCACGCCAAACCTACAAATCTGTACTCTTGGGAAGGGAAGCTACAGTGTCTGCTCCACATGCTGCTCAGGGGTTCTGCAAAGGACCCAGCCTGACATGTCACAGATAGTGTCCATGAACCTCCGTGGACACAGAGTCCTCTACCGGGGGGTCCCTCCTCATGAGAACATCCCGAACGCTGGGGCCATGACAACTTCATGCCGCACCTCTCTTCACCTCTTCATGAGGACTTCCGACTGCACGCCTAACACTTTGCTTCCGCTCCTGCACCCCAAGTGTATTCTATGCTCTCACCTCCTATGTTTTAGCTGTTTGGGGCGAGGGTTCATATCCTCACGTTCCAGCAGCACTCCTGCATGTACTGGATAATTCTGATGTTTTCCTAGGGAGGGACTGAGTAGCACTCCCGCATGTAACTCACTGCAAACAGTTTGGGTGAAATGTAAAGTGGAATTGGAAGCTGACTTCCTCCATATTTAAATATTTCTGTCACTCAGGAAAAGAAATAAGAAAAGTATTCAAAACGGGACAAGACCCCGGGACCCCATCTGTTTTTCCAGCTCCGCCTTCCTCCTCCATGGAGACTGTTCACCAGGCGGTTGTGAGACAGCCCCTGAAGTCCTCCCACATCTTTCTTGTACTAGAGACTCAAGCTTCCTTCTCAGTCCTGGGAGAAGGAAGACCATGTGGGACGGAGGAAAGCACTGGGCACCTGCACTTCTGAAAACAGATGCCTAAGAGCCATCGACTGCCATTAGAATATCCGCACCTGAGAACAAGCTGTTCATTCTGGAGGTGAATTAATCATCCCAAAGCCCGGGACATAGTGATTCTCCTGTTTAAACTCCTAACGCCTCAGAATATAGTTTCTCTAAGTTTACAATACTTGCTTTGCTGAGATAGTTTACTAATCAACTCTCTCACAGGAAACCATTCGAATCGAAGAGAGAAGGCAATAAAAAGTTAAAACAGTAGATATGTAAACAGTAAGATACTCTTATCTTGGAAAACTGAATGCAAGTGAATTTGACCATTCCCCCCATACTTGGTAAAACTTACCCATTTTGGTGTCTTGTCCACAGAGTGAAACACACAGAGAACAGGAAGTCACTATCTTCAGCTTTACTGTGCTGCTAGGAACTTTGCAGCACACAAGGCTGAGCCGATTTTAACTCACTAATTATGATGCTCTGGGGAAGTGCCTTGGTAACTGACTGAGTCCCTCACTAGGAAAACATCAGAACTATCCAATAACTCCAGGTGGGCACCCATGGAGGGGCAAAAGTGTAACTGCTGAACTATCTGAACCATTCTGTGACGTGGGCAAACTGAGAAGGGTGATCTGGCAGGAAAGGCGAGACCCCACGAGGGAGATGACCCTGTGCTAATTCCGTTTCTGTCACTGTCTTTCTATGAACTCTGAAAAGTAACCATTTCTGTCACTGTTTTTATATGAACTTGGGAAAGTAACTTTTCTCTGGATCCCAACATGAAATTTGACTATTTTTATAAAAGCCGAGGAAGATGGAGGAGGAAATGAGCAGAAGAAAAAGAAGAAAAACAGGAAGCACAAGAATGTTAAACCCATAGGGCTCCTTCCCACAACACAGTGCCTCCTCACAGCTCAGCGTCTCCTCACAGCGCCTCCCCATGGCACGGCGCCTCCCGACGGCACGGCGCCTCTGGTAGCACAGCCCCTCCTCACTGCCCAGCGCCTCCCCACGGCCCAGCGCCTCCCCACGGCCCAGCGCCTCCCCACGGCCCAGCGCCTCCCCACTGCCCAGCGCCTCCCCACGGCACAGCGCCTCCCCACTGCCCAGCGCCTCCCCACTGCCCAGCGCCTCCCCACTGCCCAGCGCCTCCCCACGGCACAGCGCCTCCCCACGGCCCAGCGCCTCCCCACGGCCCAGCGCCTCCCCACTGCCCAGCGCCTCCCCACGGCACAGCGCCTCCCCACTGCCCAGCGCCTCCCCACTGCCCAGCGCCTCCCCACTGCACAGCGCCTCCTCACTGCACAGCGCCTCCCCACGGCACAGCGCCTCACTGCACAGCGCCTCCTCACTGCACAGTGCCTCGTCACAGTTTAGTGCCTGCCCACAGTTCAGCGCCTCCCCAAGGCACAGCGCCTCCTCACAGTTCAGCGCCTCCCCACGGCACAGCACCTCCTCACTGCCCAGCGCCTCCTCACTGCACAGCGCCTCCTCACTGCCCAGCGCCTCCCCACGGCACAGCACCTCCTCACTGCACAGCGCCTCCTCACTGCACAGCGCCTCCTCACGGCCCAGCGCCTCCCCACGGCACAGCGCCTCCCCACTGCACAGCGCCTCCCCACTGCCCAGCGCCTCCCCACTGCCCAGCGCCTCCCCACGGCCCAGCGCCTCCTCACTGCACAGCGCCTCCTCACTGCACAGCGCCTCCTCACTGCCCAGCGCCTCCCCATGGCACAGCGCCTCCTCACTGCCCAGCGCCTCCTCACGGCCCAGCGCCTCCTCACTGCACAGCGCCTCCTCACTGCACAGCGCCTCCTCACTGCCCAGCGCCTCCCCACGGCACAGCGCCTCCTCACTGCCCAGCGCCTCCGCACTGCACAGCGCCTCCTCACTGCACAGCGCCTCGTCACAGTTTAGTGCCTACCCACAGTTCAGCACCTCCCACGGCACAGCGCCTCACTGCACAGCGCCTCCTCACAGCTCAGCGCCTCCCCACAGCACAGCGCCTCCTCACAGTTCAGCATCTCCTCACAGCTCAGCACCTCACAGCTCAGTGCCTCCTCACAGCTCAGCGCCTCCTCACAGCTCAGCGCCTCCTCACAGCTCAGCGCCTCCTCACAGTTCAGCATCTCCTCACAGCACAGCACCTCCTCACAGTTCAGTGTCTCACCAGTACTCAGCGCCTCCTCACAGCGCCTCCCCACAGCAAGGCGCCTCCGCATTCTGGGGGCACGGATTGCAGGGAAGTTGCACTGGAGGAAATGACATGCGAGGAAGCCTTACAGTAACCCAGTCGGGAAATGGTGGGACCCACATGAAGCAGCTCAGCAGGCGTGGAGAGGCAGCGCAGGCTCCGGAAATGTTGAAATAGAGGAGTCAGTGTGTGTTGGAAGGACAACACCCATGACGTGGAGATGAGCGATTGTGGCGGCACAGGGACCCCTCTATGGGAGGCAAGGAGGGATTCTGGAACCCCTGACTGTAGTCAACGAAGGGCAGCATCCAGGAAATTGGCAGTTAACAGCAGTGGAGGGTGGAAGGGATAGGACTGCAAAATGGCATTGGCCTCGAAGAAAGGCTCTTAAGGGTGGAAAAGTGGGTTTAGAAGTTGTGTTAGGGAATTGGTAGACACCACGCCAATGTGATGAAATGAGCAGACACTACCTGAAAATCAACCACGTAACGTTCAGTTATTCCATTCAAACCCGCGTCCTGTTTTTTTTTCTTGAACAGTGCAAACATTATTACATACTTCAATTATTCTTATCATCATATTTTGCAGACATTCCTGGAGCGGGACAGCCTCCTGGGAGTGTTTACAGAACAGAGGGGATGGGATTATGCCAGCGTAAAAATCCCCCTCCAGAGCTTGGCATGTAAAACTTCGATTTCATTTTGCTTACCAAGAAGCAGTACAAGGCCAAGCGTAGTGGCTCATATCTGTAACCCCAGCACTTTGAGATGTATGAGGCAGGAGGATTACTTGGGCCCAGGGATTTGAGACCAGGCTGGGCAACATAGTGAGACACCCGACTCTACAAAAATAGAAAAAATAACTGGTCATGGTGGTGTGTGTCTGCAGTCCCAGCCACTTGGGAGGCTGAGGTGGGAGAATCACCTGAACACAGGTGGGAAAGTCAAGGCTGCAGTGAGCCATGATTGCACCACTGCACTCCAGCTGGGGTGACAGAACAAGACCCTGTCTTAAAAAAAAAAAAAAAAAAAAAAAAAGCAGGTCTGCAGAAGTTAGTTGCTGTGCTAATTTATGACATATCTGGTTCAGACACACTGCTCTGATTAAATATGAAGTTCACACCCCAGTGTGGGCAGCCTGTGGCAGGTATGCAGATAAAGGATTTAACAAAGCACTGCGATATTACATTTCAGCACGACAGAGAGCATCTCGGCAGCTGTCTGCATTCTGTGCCTGCTGCCAGTTGAGATGTGAAAATTGTCAGACTATTTCTAAATGGAAATCTAGGCATTCACAGTAATGAACATGTGAATAAAAAAATAAAAACCTCTACTGTTAAATTTGTTCCAGTGATTCTTAAGAGTTTAAATGATTAAATCTCTAAAAATGTATCCCTTGTTTAAGCTCTTTCAGACCAGAAGCAGGATGCCCTGACCTTTTGAAATTCTGAACCCACTGTCCATGTGCGAAGGCTGTGGCCTGACCTGGCTGGGTGCCTGAGTCACACCCAGGGCGCCTGGGTTCTGTAGAAAATGTCTTTAGGCTGAGTGTCTTGGTCTCCTGACCCTTGCTGGGATCCAGGTGGTGGTTTCTGCCCCATCAGCTCCCCTGCACTTGGCTGCTCCATCTGGGTCCTCTAGTGGGTGTTGGTCTAGAGGGTTCATTAATCCCTCCGCCTCCCTGATGGCTGCTTTTAAGATCTGTTTATTCGATGGTGTGGGACAAACAACATCCCTGCCAGGCACTGGTCCCTGATTCTGGAGCCGCGAACCACCTGGGGGCTTGGTTTGTTCTGGGAAATAGGACTGGACAGAAGCGTTTGTAAGAGTGGGCGGGACCAGGCAGGGGTGGTTATCCCGATTTGCTGATGCTCCTCATGAAGGCTCCGGACCAGGGGCTGTGAATCAGGGCCTCAGAACTACTAAAGCCAGGTAGAAGAAGTGCCTTTTTTTTTTTTTTTTTTTTTTTTTCTCTTAAACACATTTAGATAGGACGGGAATGTTTTCCAGGGCTGGATGACCTGTTCAATGATGCATTATCTCTTCCCTTGCATGGTATTTTATGATTTTGGATATTTCTATGACAGTAGGGAATACCTGGATAATCAGTGAATTTTGCCCACGTTCTTTTGTGTGTAAGGGTGGTAATAGAGACTTCTTCCCAAGGAGGGCTGAGTCAGGGTCGATTCAGCCATGGGCCGTCCTAGGGTGTTGGCAGGCATCTGAGAGGCAGCAGGTAGAGGATGTGCAGCTGTGAGCCTTTCCCGGCTTAGGCTGGCCATGGTCATGGCCTCAGGGCACCATGCTTGGAGCTGGTGACCTTCGATTGCATGATATGCACCCCAAGTACTTTAGAGCATTCTCTCCACATTTGCATGCTCACTCATTTATAGAGGATCTATAAATCACTCTATTAATTTGTAAAACATATACAAAAATATAAATTTAAAATGATGAGATATGCTCAGACAGGAATAAAGATGAATTTCCTCAACCTGATAAACAGCATCTACAAAACTCCCACAGTCAACACCATGTGAAATGGGGAAATGCTGGGCTTGTCCCCTGAGAGCAGAACTGGGGCAAAGATGTTGGCTCTCACCAGTGCTGATGGTTCTACTCAACGTTGCACTGAAGGTTCCAGATGAAATGCTTAAACCCTTAGAAGAAAGCACAGAAGTAAATCTTTGTGCTCTTGCTTTAGGCAACGATTCATTAGCTAGGACACCAAAAGCACAAGTCATGAAAAGAAAAAATAGATAAATTGGGCTTCATCAGAATAAAAAAGTTTGGTACTTTAAAGGACACCATTAAGAAAATGAAAAGACAACCCACAGAATGGGAGAAAATATTTGTAAGTCATATATCTGATGAGGCACTGATAAGACATTCTCCTATGTCTGATAATGGTATGATATACCCGAATACATAATAACATTTTATAACTCAGCAATAAGTAGGCCCAAATAAAAATAGATCAAGGATTAGAATACATATTTCTCCAAAGAAGACATAGAAATGGCAAATGGTACATTAAAAGATGCTCAATATCATTAATACTTAGAGAAATTAAAATCAAAACTACAATGAGACACCATTTCACACCCACTAGGATGGCTACAATCAGAAAGATAATAACAAGTGTTGACAAGGATGTGGAGAAATTGGAACCCTCATACATTTCTGATGGGATTCAAAATGATGCAACCAGCTTGGAAATTTCTCAAAATGTTAAATACATTTTAACTCATCAATCCTACTGCCAAGTATATACCCAAGAGAAATAAAAACATATATCTACATAAAACCACATATTCAAGTGTTCACAGTGGCAATATTCATAATAGACAAAAAGTAGAAATGACCCAAATGTTGGATGGATCAGCTGACAAATGGATAAATGAGATTCTGGACATCCATACAGTGGAATATTACTCAGCTATAAAAAGAAATGAAGTTCTGACGTATGCCACACCCTAAAGACACCAAACTTAGAGAAGCCAGACACAAATGCTCACTTATGTGTGATTCTATTTACCTGAAATGTCCAGAATAGGCAAATCATAGAGACAGAAAGATCAGTGGTTGCTAGGGGCCAGGGGAGGGGAAAATGCTAACAGGTTTGTTGTGAGGTCAGAAAAATGTTCCAAAATTCCTATCCAAAGATAAGAATGATGGTTGCAGAACACTGTGAATATAGTAAAGACCTTTGAATTGTACTTTAAAGGGTGATTTTTATGGTATCTGATTTATAGCCCAATTAAGTTGTTATAAAAATGCTGAGATCAAAGTATCAGTAAAAGTTCTAGATTTTTTTCCTTTACCTCAGTGAATCATCTACATATCGCACACTTTGAAGACTTTAACACACTACACTAGTGAATTCTGGACCCATGTATTTGGAATTATTCAGAGAGCTTTTAGGGTTTTTCAGAGATTTCCTTCCCCATGGTATGGTGGTGGCTATTTGAACAGTTTGGGAAATTTTCAGAAAAGATACTCCTGCAGTTGTCAGATTGGCTGCAACACTTGGCTTTGGTTGACAGGGCTCAGGGTGCCATCTGCCATTTTCTTCAGTCATATTCATCCGAAGAAGTCGAAGTCTTAAATCTGCAAAGCAGGCAAGAATGGACACACTTGCTGGGTGTGGTGGCTCACGCCTGTAATCCCAACACTTTGAGAAGCTGAAGCAGGCAGACTGCCTGAGCCCAGGAATTTTAGAGTGGCCTGGACAACATAATGAGACCTCATCTCCACAAAACAATAAAAAATTAGCCAGGTGCGGTGGTGGACGTCTATAGTCCCAGCTACATGGGGGGCTGAAGTAGGGACAGAAGTGGGAGGTTTGCTTGAGCCCGGGAGGTTGAGGCTGCAGTGAGCTGGTGTTGCACCACTGCATTCCAGTCTGGGTGATGGAGTGAGACCTTGTCTCAGAAAAAAAAAAAAAATAAATAAAAAATAAAAGAGTAGATAGACTGGCTAACTAGCATCAGTTTTGTTTTTTTTTTTTTTGCCATCGAACAGGTGTTAAATATCTTTTGTTGATTAAAAATATTACAGTAAAGAATGGCATATTTTTGATATTTTGAGTTGAGAATTCAAAAGTCTTCCAGAAAGCACAAGACGTTGGCCCCCTGACCTCAGAGGAGAGACACATCAAAGAGAATTCCCCATGTGCAGGACTGGAGACTTCCAATGTCCCTCCCACTCTAAGTTGTAATTCTGATCTGTGATGGCATCTGTCCAATAGAGACACCACTACTGGTTAATTTGATTAATTCAGATGAGATATATCAATTTATTTGAGGAAAAACCCCAAAGCTTCATGTGATTTGTTTGACTAAATTGTCTAATTGATTAAGTTGTAAGAATTTCTCTGATTACATTGGAAGCAGAGTTACCGTTTTCCCTCTCTCTAGATTTTGAGTTGTCCATTTTTCCCCATCCCCGCAATCAATGGGAGAGACAACTTGTGTTGATGGTGGCAGAGCCAGCGATCTGACAACCTTCCTCTGTTAGCCCAGATTTCTGGTCTCCAGCCCTCTCCTGCTATTGAGTTTTGACTCCAATTGCAAGTGGCCATCTCAGAACACAAATCCCTCAGCTCATAAGAGAAAAGTGCTTGATCCGTTTCTTATTCAATTGCCAAGATCATTTCATGTGCCCCAGACTTGGCTGAGTTAACTCGATTTCTACTAGCTTTTCTCCTGGTTTTGATTAACTTTGATGCCATAATTGCTTAGTTTGGAGTCATCTGATGTTACACAATCTTTAGGCACCTAGTGATGCTTTGCTGGGAAGAAGCTGTGGTCTCAATGTGTGCCAGACCCTCTACCTTTGTCTACCATGGCCCTGTGAGCTGGGTGCCCTTACCATCCAAATTTTCTGCAGCACAGTGGGTCACTTGCTGAAAGAAGGCCTCACAGGGAGAGCCAGGGTTCAGATCCTGAGTTGGGCTCCCAGGTCCAGGACCTCAACCACCACATGAAACTGCCTCTCTGTGCTCAGATGGGCCCCACTTAATTTTGAGGGTATTTTTTAGTCTCTAGAGGTAATTTTCCTTACACCTCAGCACACTGTTTTTCTCATCATATTAATACATGATACCTGTAATAGGCAAAGTGTGTATGTGTAACAGAAAATTTTGTACAGAAAAAGCATGCAGAAAGGAGGCTGGGGAAAGAGACGATGATGATTTATCAACTGCAGACCTCAAAGTCCAATAAAATGAAAAGGAAGCAGCAGCCCGTGAGCTACTATCTGTGGGGCCGATGGTGAGAGGAGCCGTCTGAGGTGGGATTGCCTGTGCCCTCGGTTCATCCAACTTACCTGTAATGCCACAGGGATGCTAATTCCTAGGGACAAAAAGGCAGCCCAAACCTAAAACACAATTCCTGCTTCCTTTGCTACCCAGACTGATGAAATACAAACCTCTCAAAGAAAACAGACATCAAGCACCCCAGTGGTCTTTTTACAAACGCCCGTAGCCCCATTATAGAAATGCTTACACGGCAGGTTACTCAGACAGGCCGGAACAACTAGACTGGACACACAATGAAGGTTATTTCTGCCAAGGTGTGTCTTTAACTTTTCAGGTAGGCAGTAGGCAGGGGCCATGGCAAGACGCAGACTCATGGGCAGAGGCCGGAGGCTGTTTTGTGTTTCCTGGAGCAGCGGTACGGCGGGAAACATGGAAGAAGCGGCGGGGTGGCCTAGGTGAGTGTTTAGTAATCTCCAGAAAGTGGAATAATTAATTTGTTAACTAATGACATTCGTATGGAAGAGATCAGGCCGCGGCTTTTGGTCGAATACATTTGAAAATATTTTATCAAACGCCCTGCTTGCTGTGACTGTCAAGTGCCATGAGCAGCGATGTCTAAAGCTGTCATTGTGAGGCTCGTGGACTCCTCACTGTGCTTCCTACAGAGAAATATGCTTCCAGAGAGTAGGAATATTTCTCCACACGTGGGTGCACACACATGTGCAAGTGTTTGTATATAATAAATACATTTATAGTGTATTGCATGTTTATATGTGTACATATATATAAATGCATTTATTATCATTCGTATCTGCAAATCTGGCTACTCACATGTAGGTTCCTTGGTCAAGATTTATAACTTTAATAGATGAATCTTTAAGATTGCAAGGCCGATTATTTTCTGTGTTATTTGAAGTTTTCCTTTTACAAATAAAGTTTCTTCAAGAAGTCAACAATATTTGTATAGAGTTAAAATTAGCCTCTTATTTTAATGTTTGATTTTTTTAAAGGGTGTGTAACGTCTTTGTGAAGCACCTGTGTGTAGCTGGGCCATTGCTGCAAAGGGTCCTCACTTCTGGGACTGGAGCTGGTCCTCATTCCTCAGTGCTTTGACAAAACCCTCAGTGCATCTCCAGAATGGCACCAGAAGATTAACTGTCATTATTTGTCCTCACTTCAAACTCTTCCCAGAGCTTAATTCTAACATTTTATCATGACTAAAAATCATGTGGGGCCCTTGTTAAAAGTGCAGCCCAAGATAGTATGGTTTGGTAGCTCTGGGTTAAGTGCCCAGGAGCTACATTTTAAACATGACACCCAGCCAAGTCTTACGTGTGTGCGTTACAATTCAAACTGTGAGGTCTTCTCAGGGGCAATGGGTTTGTCTTATTTGTCTCTGTGTGTTCCAGCTACCTGCGCCTGGGGCAGATAGTACTTATTGAGGATGTCTGTGAGATGAATGGATGGATGGAGGGAGGGAATGATGGAAGGAGGGATGGAGGGTGGGAGGGATGGATAGAAGGATGGAGGAAAGAATGGAGGAATGGATGGAGGGAGATATGCAGGGATGGAGGGAGGGATGAAGGGAGAGATGGAAGAAAGGATGAAGGGAAGGCTGGAAGGAGGGATGAAGGGAGAAAAGGATAGAGGGGTGGATGACGGAAGGGATGGAGGGAAGGATGGAGGGAGAAATAGAGGAAGGGATGGGTAAACAGGGAAGAAGGGTGGGGGGTGAAGGAATGGGGGAAGGGTAGAAGGACAGATGGATGGATGGATGGATGGAGGGTTGGAGGGAGGAAATGATGGAGAGAGGGGTGGAAAGATGGATAAGGGATGGAAACCTGTCTCCTGGCAGGAAGGCTTGACTGCTTGCAAGCCACTGGTTGGGCTATAACAAACTTGGGCCATCATTTATATCTTTTCTAAAACCTGAGGAACATTTTGACATGTCTTAAATAAGGATAAGTGAGTCCCATCCTAAATAGGAAATACTCTGTCACTTTTCTCTGATTTCAAAAGCCATCAAAGCAGAATGTGCACATCCCGATTACCTCATTGTTTCTGCACCAGCTCACTGCCAGGCTTATCCTGCTTGGCACATGCAAATTAGAGAGATGCCTGCGTTACAGACCCGCTGCAATCCCCGTGTCTTCACACTGAATTTGGAATTGAATAGTGCTAAATGGGTCTTCACATTTGGCTTTGGTGGTTAATTTGACCATGCATAGCATGTTTTCATATTTCTTCATGACAAATGTAAACATAATTAGCTCTTATTCAAAAATAATTTGGTTGTAGAATGCAGTGATTTCTAAACATGTCCTCCATTTTAAGAAACTCTAATATGCAAACATTCGAATTCATGGAGTGCATAAATTCAGCATCTATTCTTCTCACAGTGATTCTTGGCTTTGGGCTTCACTGCAGGAGGCCTACAAACAATGGGATCCTGTAACGCATTTAAGATGTTACCCACTTGGCAATAATTGGATGACTCTTTAAGGAATGTAGTAGCACCTCCATTAAAGCAATTATCTTGTTATTGTGTGGCTATTTCCATATCTGTTTCTCTGGTTCACTGTTTCTTAATAAATGTTATCCTGTTTATCTTTGTTTCCTCAGTGTCTTAAATACCCGGTTCCTAATCAATGCTTTAGGCATTTAAGGGTATTCTCACACATCTCTGTATCTCTCAACACTTCTGAAGCATCATGGGAAACCCACCCCTCATATTTAGGAAATGAACATCCTTACAGTTAGGCAGATCATCCTGTATTATGATGTACGAGTACCACATAGCCATGGGAGGAAAATGAAGGGTTTAAAGACTCCTTGGATATTTCTTCATATTATAAAATAAGAATGACCTTTGCAACTCTACTTAGGTTCAGCTGCTTGTGAATTATGAGGGGTTCCTCAAGGAATAGACATTTCCTAGAGCCTCCTCACCCTCAGAAGACCACAAAACTTCTCTGCAGAAAGTGTTACGCTTTCTTAGTCCACTGAGGACTCCCTGTGTCAGGTGAAGTTTTATTATTGTCCTTAGCATTGAAAGAATTGCTTGCAGGATGTTTCAGCTCATTTCTTTCCATCGTCGTTGGTGATTCTCAGTGGTGGTAACCTTTACAGTGCATGTGTGGTCTCCCCCTCTGCTCCGATTCCTGACTCTTTTCTTCTTTTCCATCTAAACAGAGTACACAGCTCTGCCACAGATAATGAGTCCAGATAGCCAAAAATCAACGGACAGGAGATTAATGGACTGGGTTATTTTATAACTAATCCAAATAAAGATTTTTCCCTTTTTTACTTAAAGATTTCTGTGTGTGTGTGTGTGTGTGTGTGTGTGTGTTTTAGATATAACCAAGAATGAACTTTTCCAAAGGTCACTTAATTACTAGGGGAAAATAGAAAGTGGTCCAGATAGTGCATGTTTATAAGCATGTGGTGTATGTGTGCACTTGCCTCCATATTAAATTTTTGGGCCAAATAATCAAGTATTAGGAAACACAAAATACCCAGAGTGATTCTCACTCAGGATTTAGACTCTAACGGCAAGCTCTAATGGCTCACCTGCATGGACTGCAATCAGAGAAGGTGCACACTCACCTTAGATGGCAGGCTGGGCTCAACTACACCAAATGCTGGGCATCCCACTGAGTAGTCCAGCTTTTCAGAGTGGTTGGTGTCAGTGATGCCATTGAAATGCTCAAGAAATGAGCTGAAACATCCTGCAAACAATTCTTCCATGGTAAGGACTACAATAAAACTTCAGCTGACACAGGGAGGCCTCAGCAGACCGAGAAAGTGTAATTTTTTCTGGAGAGAAGTTTTGTGGTCTTCTGAGGGTAAGCAGGTGCATGCGCCGGGGTTACCCATCCCTCCCACCGAGGCCTCATATCACCTCAACTTTACCCTGGGGCTGGAGTGCAGGGATTAGAATAAAATTTCTGATACCCATTGTTTCATTTAGCCACTCCAATTATTGATACGATTTTACTATATTGATTTTATTGCATTTAATTCCCATTTCAAATACCAGGAGAAAAGGAATTGGGTCATAAAATCTTTAAGATATTTGGTCAGACTATAAAAGGGGGTGCCATTAATTCACAAAGAGGAGAAGTCATAGGATTTGCTTCCCAGGTCTTGGCCCAGCCCAGCCTTCTTCACCTCGTGCACACTATACACACTGGATGCTCTGCTGAAGTTGTGTTGTCACCTGGGACTGACACGTGCTTCTCATGGCATCATTTAATACTGTCATGGTGCTTTGCAAAATGGGGTAGAATCATTGGAGAAAATCATCATGGCTGAAAATAAAAGCATCTATTTTACATGAGAAACATTCACTGAAGCTAGTCCATGTGGAAGGAACTTTGAGGAAGAACTACATTGCCCAAACTCTACAGACAGTTCGTTAAAAATAGGGAGTGTCTTAAGGAATGTGGCAGGCATTTCTCCTTTTATTCATGCTGGCAGACTGATAAGTGTTTAACCGAACATAGCTTCAGAGCTTCAGCCCAAATGCTTAAATTCACTCAACCAAAAGCTCAACTGTCTTGGGCCGCACAGTTTCAGTGGACTGTTCCCAGTTCACTGAGTCTGGTCCATAATAACTACATTGCAGATAAACTTCATTTTTGAAACCATTTTTCCCCATTTCCAATTTCTCTTCTTCAGATCCCTATCATATAAAATTCTCAGTTTTAACTATTTCCTCAAAAACAATCCTGTAGAGGCAAAATGCTGAAACAAGAAAACCAGGCCACCTAGTCAAGTGAGGTGTTGTTTAGAATGACGCAGGGTTTTAAAATGGCAAGAATTCTCTATTTAGGTTGGCCTCAAACATGGACCAGCTAGTTCTCAATTAGGCAATTTCTGTCTGTTTCATAAATGAATCTAAAACATGAATGGAAATGGTGGCTCCTACGTGGGCCAGCTCACAGCCCCAGCCTTAGGTCACCCCCCGACATTTTGGCATGGTGGATAGAGAGGTGGAGGAAGGATTTCTAGGCTGAAAGAAGACAAATCTGCCCCTTCTTCTCCATCAGCCACCAGGTTCCAGGTTCTGGAAACAGGGCGGTGGGTGGGCTGTCTGCTTCCTTGCATGGGCTGGAGGGCAGGGTGGCTGTGAGCTCACTCACCCCAACATTTGTCTCATTCCCAGCAGCTCCGGACCTTGAGGGCTGATCTTCCCAACTCTTCTCCACATTCCAACACCAGCAGCCTCGGCTGGGTCTCATACTCTGGATTCAAAGCATCGCTTCTCTTGAGAGGCTTTCCTTATTTTGGTTGGATAGGATGTATCTTTCCAAGTTTCAGACAGTGTTTCCTGTCTGTTGGGTTTCTCCTCCCTGGACCCCACACTAGCCGGGTTGCTCGGCCACGCCCTGTGCTGAGCCGAGATGTCTTCCTGCCACGCCTGTAGCTGAGCATGGACCCCACAGCCCAGCATAGCCTCTTCTCAGGTTAACCCTGCCCCATGGAAAGGGTGGGTCAAATCTGCAGTTTTCAGAGCTGGCAACATGGTGACCACGATTCACACATGGCTAAGTGCATCCTGCACCTTGCATTGACCCGAAGTCTACGGGACTAAGGAGAAGCCATTTTGTTTTGGGTCCCATTCCTGCCAACTGCACTTTTAGGGGAGGAGTCACTCAGAGCCTTCGTTTCATTCATGTAATAGGTTGTGAGGAGGTGGAGACAAACTCTGGCTGTATTTTTACTGTTTTCACTTTCATCTTGCCTCTCACATCCCTACGTTTGCTCTGATTACAGAAGGGATTAAAAACAGATAAACAAAATCAAACAACACCAAACACAGCATAAATATCAACCCATCCAGGCTGCAGTGGATTCTTGCCAAACTTTGAAAATTCTCCAAGTCAATACTCCCATTAGAAAAGAGCTTTTCTGGCCATGAAAAGCTGAGCAGCAGCGATCTGCAGAGGGAGCGGGTGTGGGGCTGCTCTGGCCCCTGCTCTGAAGCCCCACTGGGAGCTCAGAGGATGAAGAAACATCCATCGATAGCAGGTGCCAGCCCACCCGTGACCAAGTGCAGACTTTCAAAAAGGAATGCATTCCCAACAATATGACACAGAAGGTTTGGAATAACTGCTTTTGATAGAAGTTTTGACGGTTTTGAAGCTACTCTCACAGCAGCACTCCTGCATTCTGGCTTGGTGTCTCCAGAGGGGCAGGGGTGGGCTCACAGCTGGGGGTGGGCAGTGGAGAGGGAACATGCCACACCTGTGATTATCAACTTTCCTGTATGCTGTGGCCCCAGACAGCCTAGAGCCACGTGGGTCCGGAATTGAATCAGCACCCACCAGAGAACCACGTGCCCCACAGCGGCAATAACCGGCATCCACCAGAGAACCACGCGCCCCACAGTGGCAATAACCAGCATCCACCAGAGAACCACACACCCCACAGCGGCAATAACCGGCATCCACCAGAGAACCACGCGCCCCACAGCGGCAATAACCAGCATCCACCAGAGAACCACACACCCCACAGCGGCAATAACCGGCATCCACCAGAGAACCACACACCCCACAGCGGCAATAACCGGCATCCACCAGAGAACCACGCGCCCCACAGCGGCAATAACCGGCATCCACCAGAGAACCACACGCCCCACAGTGGCAATAACCGGCATCCACCAGAGAACCACGTGCCCCACAGCGGCAATAACCGGCATCCACCAGAGAACCACACGCCCCACAGCGGCAATAACCGGCATCCACCAGAGAACCACGTGCCCCACAGCGGCAATAACCGGCATCCACCAGAGAACCACACGCCCCACAGCGGCAATAACCGGCATCCACCAGAGAACCACGTGCCCCACAGCGGCAATAACCGGCATCCACCAGAGAACCACACACCCCACAGCGGCAATAACCGGCATCCACCAGAGAACCACGTGCCCCACAGTGGCAATAACCGGCATCCACCAGAGAACCACGCGCCCCACAGCGGCAATAACCAGCATCCACCAGAGAACCACGTGCCCCACAGCGGCGATAACCAGCATCCACCAGAGAACCACGCGCCCCACAGCGGCAATAACCAGCATCCACCAGAGAACCACACACCCCACAGTGGCAATAACCAGCATCCACCAGAGAACCACGCGCCCCACAGCGGCAATAACCAGCATCCACCAGAGAACAAAGTGTCCCGCAGTGGTGATAATCAGCATCAGGCAGAGAACCACATGCCCCAAAGCAGTGATAACCAGCATCCACCAGAGAACCCTGTGCCCCACATCGGCAATAACCAGCATCCACCAGAGAACCACGTGCCCCACAGCGGCGATAACTGGCATCCACCACAGAACAAAGTGTCCTACAGTGGTGATAATCATCATCAGGCAGAGAACCACATGCCCCAAAGCAGTGATAACCAGCATCCACCAGAGAACCATGTGCCCCACAGCGGCAATAACCAGCATCCACCAGAGAACCACGTGCCCCACAGTGGCAATAACCAGCATCCACCAGAGAACCACATGCCCCACAGCGGCAATAACCAGCATCCACCAGAGAACCACGTGCCCCACAGTGGCAATAACCAGCATCCACCAGAGAACAACGTGCCCTGCAACGGCGATAATCAGCATCAGCCAGAGAACCACATGCCCCACAGCGGCAATAACCAGCATCCACCAGAGAACGACGCACCCCACAGCGGCAATAACCGGCATCCACCAGAGAACCACGTGCCCCACAGTGGCAATAACCAGCATCCACCAGAGAACCACATGCCCCACAGCGGCAATAACAAGCATCCACCAGAGAACCACGTGCCCCACAGTGGCAATAACCAGCATCCACCAGAGAACCACGCGCCCCACAGCGGCAATAACCAGCATCCACCAGAGAACAACGTGCCCTGCAACGGCGATAATCAGCATCAGCTAGAGAACCACATGCCCCACAGCGGGGATAACCAGCATCCACCAGGGAACCACGTGCCCCACAGCGGCGATAACCAGCATCCACCAGAGAACAAAGTGTCCCTCAGTGGTGATAATCAGCATCAGCCAGAGAACCACGTGCCCCAAAGCAGTGATAACCAGCATCCACCAGAGAACCAACTGCCCCACAGCAGCGATAACCAGCATCCACCAGAGAACAAAGTGCCCCGCAGTGGCGATTTCCTTCAGGCGGAATGGGGCTCTTTTGTGATAACTTTTTCCTGAGCCACTTTCACCCTCTCACTCTTCTTTCTGATGTGTGCACCCCAGGCTCATTGATCATGGTATTGCTACATTTTCTTTCAGCCAGGTTTTGTCTGGAATTTAGTCAGAACTATGCTGCAGCTGTGCAGGAATGTGTGGTTGGCTGGCAGTGCCCACATCTTGGGGTGTCCCAACCTCCTGCTCACTCTCAAAGATGGGCAGTTACAGTGAAGACAGTGAGAGTCAAATCCAGCTTTTCATGAATTTTTAACCCTCTGCCTGGATGTCCCATTTTATCATTAAAACCACCCTGTGATAGACCCCCTTCCTCAGCTTCCCCATGCCATGGAGAAGGCTGAGGCAAGTCCCTCAAACACACACATGGCCCCACAGAACCAGGACTGACACCAACAGGGCCTTGACTCTGAGGCCTCTGCCCAACTACCATGCACGCCGCTTGGTTGTCTGCTCACATTAAACATTACAGCATCGAGAAACATTCAGGGAACAGTGACTCCTGACTCCTGCAGTCTTCTTCAGGTGGCCATTCCTAGGGAGAAGGAGGAGCTTTGGGAAGCCAGTCTTTCCCTCTCTCCTCCTCTTGGAGATCGCAGACCCATGGGAGGAGAGTACCCTGAGATGCTCTCAGACATGGGTGGGGTGGGGGTGGAAAGTCTCAGCCTCATCCAGCCCTGCCTGTGATGGGCTAGCACTTGAGGACATCAGCAGCACTCTGGCTCTGAGTTAGGAAACCTACCGCCCCAATCGTTCAGCCACCTTTTCTGCATCTTTGTCCACCTGACTGTATTGCAATGGGGTGACAAGCTGATTAGGAAAAGAGGTCTTTTGCTGTGATCAGTTCTCATCTTCTCTCCCACATTTATTACTCTTTTTAGTTAGTCCTTTTTTTGAACACAAGTCTCCTCCCTGCATCTCAAAAACAAGAGCCTTGTTTGTGAATCACATAAGAAAGTGATCTCCAAATTGGGGAATGCACAAAAGTTGGAGAAAAATGTTGGAACTTCAACTTAAGAGACTTGTATGATAAAAAATGCTTTTGCAGACACAAGAACAGGGTGTGGTCATGACCTGCTGGTTCCCAACAACACAAGGAGAAAGAATGGAGCATAAAAGACAGATCTAGGGTGAAGAGAAATGAGATCTATACACAAGACATGAAGTTAGTCAGGGCTTTTCTGACATTGGAAGTCATAGGAAGCCTGTACATAAAAACCAGGTTTTCAAACAACCCCATAAAAAAGTGGGCAAAGGACATGCACAGACACCTCTCAAAAGAAGACATCCATGCAGTCAATAAGCATATGAAAAAAAGCTCAACATCACTGATCATTAGAGAAATGCAAATCAAAACCACAATGAGATACCATCTCACAGCCGTCAGAATGGCTAGTACTAAAAAGTCCAAAAATAACAGATGCTGGCGAGAAAAAAGAATGGAATGTAAATTAGCTCAGTGGGAATGAGCTAGTGGGAATGTAGATTAGCTCGGCCATTGTGGAAAGCAATTTGGCAAATTCTCAAAGAACTTAAAACAGAACTACCATCTGACCCAGCAACCCCATTACTGGGTATATACCCAAAGGAATATAAATTGTTCTACCATAGACACACAGGCACGCGCATGTCCATCGCAGCACTATTCACAATTGCAAAGTCATGGAATCAACCTAAATGCCCATCCATTGTGGACTGGATACAGAAAATATGCTACATATACACCATGGAATACTATGCAGCCATAAAGAAGAACCAGATCATGTCTTCTGCAGGAACATGGATGGAGCTGGAAGCCCTTATCCTAAGCAAACTAATGCAGGAAAAGAAAGCCAAATATCCATGTTCTCACTTATATGTGGGAGCGAAACACTGGGCACCTATGGCCACAAATGGGGGAGCAACAGATACTGGGAACTACTTGAGGGTGAAGGGTGGGAGGAGGGTGAGGACTGAAAATCCACCTCTCGGGCACTGTGCTAATCACATGGGTAACAAAACAATCTGTACACCAAACCCCCACAACACACAATTTACCCATATAGCAAACCTGCACATGTACCCTTGAACCTAAAATAAGAGTTAAAAAAACTCAGGTTGTGCAGGAGGCATCTGTGTGATTGAGCAGGGCTGGGTCCTCCTAATCATGGCTCTCCCACCTGTGGCCGTGAGTCCTCACCCAAGCCACCTGCCTCACAGGATTTGGGTCCCATTTCTGTAAGATAACGGACAGGGTCAATGTTTCTAAAATTCTACCGGCATCCGATTTACTCATCAAACCATCAGACCAAGCTACAAGGCAGGGAAATAGGTTCCTTTGTTCAGCAGCGAGAGGACTCAGTCAAGGTCATGTGTGAACTCTTGGAGCCTGCGTGGCCGTCGCGGCAATGACCTGGTGAGAAGGTGATGCCTCAGCATGCCCAAAGCTGCATGGCAGGAGAAGGAAGGGCTCAGAATATTTTTCCTGGTGTTGTTTGGGAATAACCCTGCCTTTAGTAAAGAATTAAAGTTACACTTACAGAGGGAAGGTAAAAGGCAAGAATTGTCACAAAGCATAAATGGGCGCTGAACGCTGAGTATAAGAGGGGAGACGCCTGGGCAGGTGACCTGACCCGCCAGGCCGCTGCAGGAGGCCGACCCCAGCACCCTTCTGGCAGCCACAGGGAGTCGCACACGGACCCCATGCCTTTCACAGACTGTTTCCCAGGAGGCAAAATGTCAGCAACTGGTGCTAGGAGGGTGGTCAGAGTGAAAGCCGTGGACATGGCTGTGACTTCTGGGACGGGCACGGCGAGGCACTCTCACACACACTGTACTGTGGGGCCCCAAATAAACCAGGAGGTTGGCGTCAGCACCCACATTCTATGAATGGGCAGGAGAGGAGCCCTCAGCCTGGCTGTGCTGGGGGTTGGGCCAGGCCCACACCCGTGTGCCCGCTGTTTCTCCATGTGGCCTTCATTGTGTTTCCGAGCTCCGTGCATAATGTCCTCCCCGGCCAAGAAATAAAACAGACTGTGGGACTTGGTGGCACCAAAGAGGCAGGTGGCCCCCTCAGGGAACACAGCTGCCCAGAAGGGCACATGGAGGAAACCGCCGCAGCCTGGCAGGTGAGCCAGGAGGGCACGTGGAGGGAACCGCCGCAGCCTCGGGTGTGAGCCAGGAGGGCACGTGGAGGAAACCGCCGCAGCCTGGGGGGTGAGGATGCTTCACTCTTATGCCAGACCCACCTGTCACGGTGGTCCCCCCTCACGAGGCCTCGTCAGACCCAGAATGGTGTCAGCATGGGCTGGACTGCACAGTCCAGGGACTCTTTCATGGGCCAATGCCCTCTGACCTTAGAGGTGCTCAGAGAAGCTCCCTCCTTTGGAAACCCTGGCTGCTCCGCAGGTGAGGTTGCTCAGAGTCTGCATATGTTGCTCCGGACACCCAGCTGGCAAGAGGCAGAGCCAGGCTCAAGTCCACATCCTCCAGCTTCCCAGAAGGCTTTCCTTTGGTTCCATCAGAATGGACACACCAGGACCTTTTCGGCACCCTGTGGACACTCCTGTGACCACAGTTGTCAGAGCTCAACTGACCCCATGTCCTCCTGCCCTTGGGAACTGAGCCAGCCCAGCCTCATGCACACGGCTCTGCTGGTGACCTGGATTCCCATCTGGGGAGCTGGCTGGACAGAAGGGCTGCTGCTGTGTTTCCCCCCGTGACTCTGATAGTGAGGACAGCACCCCTTCTTTTTTGAGGGACAGGACAAGAATTGTAGGGTCATGTACAGAATCCACATGGACGCATGACTCTGCCCCTTTCAGTCTATTCTTAGCATTTGAATTCCTGTTTCTTGGCATTGAAATCCAGAACAACTTTGCATGGATGCTGCAGGCCGACACGTGTGCTTGATGGAAGGATATTCACTTAGATTTCTCAGTTTAGATAACTGAATAAAGCCTCCACACCAAACCCTGCAACCTGAGAGCCATTTTACTAAACACTTTTCATTTTACTAAAATCATCACAAATGAACCGTGGTTAAGGCAAAAGAGAGACTGCCGGCAGAGGATGCCTTCCACCACTGTGTGTATTATCATCATGATCAGAAGGAAAATGCCCTGTATTTTTTTAAAGACCCATTCACACTTAGTGTTTGTATAGTAACTGTTGTTCTGTTCGCCTTTAATTTTGAATACTTGAGTGAATTCACAATTCCACCGTGTGCATTAATTTAGAAAAATGCATTTTAAAAACCTTTAATCGTGGTGCCGTTGTTACAAACTCTCATTCCACTTTATTACTCCCCATGCACCGACAGGGTCTCAGATGTATGGGTGAGAGAGTGGCCAGAATGTGGCAGTGAAGGAGATGGGGCTTGAGATTGGGAATAACGAGTTCGTCTCTCACCAACCGCGAGAACCCCTCAGCCCCTCAGTTCCTGCCCCTCTTGTGGGTGCTGTGAACACAGGTGCCCTCCAACTCTGGGGACCTGAGGTTGTCACCGCGCTTTACTTAAAAATGCAGCATATGAGACAGTTGTTGTTGACAGGGGCATGAACTGGCTTTCAGTGTTACTGAGTCTTGCTCTTCAGAATGATCTGGGAGCATTTGTGGGGAGGAAGACATAAAATGCCTCGAGATGTGGCATATTTAAACAGATTTGACCCCCAGCCATGCTGCAGGCTCCAGCCTTTACAGAGGCACTTGGTACTAGGGAACTAAAGGCAAGAGCAAGGCCATCAGAGGCAGAGATGCCAGGGGTGCCCCACCCCGTCTCCTGCTCCAGACACTACCTGGGGCAGCAGGCCGGGAGCCAGGCCCATGTCAGGCGAGGGCACGTGGGTCCTTGCCTTCTCCCATCTGCCCAGGGTCCTCTGTTTCCCATTGGTTTGGAAAGCTAGAATTTAATGGAAAATACTACAGGAGTGAGAAAATATAAGCTCCAGTTTTGGGCAAAATGCTGCAGATTGCATGTCAATGGGGACGTGTGCCTGTTTGCTGCTCTTCAAATGTTACCAAGAAAGCAGCCCCCAGCATATGTGCCCATATTGGATACATCATGTTGACCTATGGACATCTTAACACGGGTTCTATTTTCTCAGGATGTGAGAACTGCATGTGAACATTCCATCACAGATCCTTATTTTCAAGATGAGGAAGTGCAGGCCCAGAGGGGCCCAGGACTGGCCCATTCCCTTCGGTTCTGCTCTGACTTCCCAGCCCCGCACGCCAGCCCTCAACGTGTTACTCCAGAAATGGGATTAGAGGAGCTCGTCTGGATTTTCCCTGAAATCCCTTCTCCCTTTCCCGCCTTCCTGATCATAAAGTTGCAGTGAGTCGTGTCAGAGGACCGAGGCCTTGTCTCCCCAGCCGGCGTCCCTGGGACAAGAATGAGATTGCCAAATGCCACTCTGAGCATGGTTCATGCATCTGCCCGTTTCATTCTCCCAGCTGCTCTGTGAGCGACTGCTTTTGGTATCATCTCATTTAGGAATGAGAAGAAACCAGGGCACGGGTACTTGGCACTCAAGGGCTTAGGTCCCACAGCTGGTAAGCAGATGCAGGAGACTGGCTCTGGAGACTAAGCTCACCACCTTCTCCAGGGCTGTGGATGGCAGCCGTGTGACCTGTCCCCTGCCCAGGAGACCACTGAAGAGCACACAGATCAGGAGCCAGGAGGCCTCAGCCCTCACCTCAGCTCTTCACGCCCATCGGCTACGAGACCCTCAGTAAGACCACGGGTGCCTCGACCCGGCTGGTGCACAAGGAGCACAGCCATCAACGCCTCCCGACAGCGCTCACAGGTAACGCCCTCCTCTGGACCCCACGTACGCAGTGCACCGAAGGCACCCCCAGTGGACACCAGGATTGCTGAGAAGGGAGCTGAAATAGGCTCAGGGTAATTGGGAGATGAATGGGAAGAGAGAGGCAGTAAGAGATGGAGGGAGGTAGAGAGATACAGGAACAGAGAGGGATACGGAGACAGAGACAGACACAGAGACAGAGATAGAGAGAGATAGGGGTGGAGAGAGACAGACAGAGACGGAGACAGAGAGATACTGAGAGAGAGAGACAGAGACAAACAGAGACAGGGACCGAGAGAGACAGAGACAGAAGAGGGAGACAGAGACA
Organism: Homo sapiens; assembly: GCF_000001405.40. Lineage (NCBI taxonomy): Eukaryota > Metazoa > Chordata > Mammalia > Primates > Hominidae > Homo > Homo sapiens. The sequence continues at coordinate 1,348,062 of NC_000010.11, forward strand.
GAGCGAAACAGAGACAGTGGGAATGTGAATCCCGGGCCCCTGCAGGGCTATCTCGGTCCTGTGGTGCAGTGATTTGCTGAGCACGGGGTGTGCCCTGCATTGCTGGGGGCTGGGGTGGGAGTGGCTACAAAGTCATTTCTCATGGGAGGAACATTTCCCTGTTGTTTCTAAACTCTCAGGAAACTGTCTGATGTCTCTAAAGAAACCACTGTTGCCTGTGCTCGTGGAAAGCTGATTCAGGAAGGGGTCTGGGGAGTCTGGGATGTGGGTTTCCTGGGTGAGCGGTTGAGGGGCCTCTGTGGTGACTCTGAGCCTACAGGTCTTGCTGCTGCTGCCACTCCTGGGCTGTCAGGCGACGCCTGAGCCCTGGAGCCTGTGACTCTTGCCAGCCTGAGCAGTGCTTGCTCCCTGCGGCGTTGGCCCAGACTCTGTCTGGAGTGGGTGGTCTGGGGCCCTTGGCCGGGAGGTGCCTCCCTCGGCTGCCTCCATCTGAGGCCCTCCCTGCAGCTCTGCCCCCTACCCCTTGTGCCCTGCTCTCCTCCTCCCACCCCCTCTGCTCTGTCTGCTGTCTGTTTCCAAGGGAACCTGAGTTGACATGGGGAGAAGCAGAATTAAGGGCTGTGAAGGCCCCGAGATGGGGTCCAGGTCCCGACTGCTGGCTTTGGGCTCTATCTGGGCACCCTGAGACTGTGTGAGGATGGCCGGGCTGCTGCTGAGGCCAACGCTGGGAGCTGAGTGCCCATGCACCCCAGGGCTGTCCCCTCAGTGAGCCCAGCACCCATCCACCTCAGCTCTGGGGCTCATGGGAGGCACAGGCAGGCATGCAAGCGACAGCGGCCCAGGAAGTCACCAGGTGCTGCGAGAACGATGGAAAGAGGCCTGTGTGACAATGGGGGAAGGAGAGAGGGCTCAGGGGAGAGGGCTCAGGGGATGGGACTATGGACTCAGGGGAGGTGTCAGGCCTCTGAGCCCAAGCTAAGCCATCATATCCCCTGTGACCTGCAGGTACACATCCAGATGGCCAGTTTCTGCCTTAACTGATGACATTCCACCACAAAAGAAGTGAAAATGGCCTGTTCCTGCCTTAACTGATGATGACATTACCTTATGAACGTCCTTCTCCTGGCTCATCCTGGCTCAAAAGCTCCCCTGCTGAGCACCTTGTGACTCCCACCCCTGCCTGCCAGAGAACAACCCCCCTTCTTCCTTTACCTACCCAAATCTTATAAAACAGCCCCACCCCTACCTCCCTTCGCTGACTCTCTTTTTGGACTCAGCCCGCCTGCAACCAGGTGAAATAAACAGCCATGTTGCTCCCACAAAGCCTGTTTGGTGGTCCTTTCACACGAACGTGCATGAAATTTGGTGCCGTGACTCAGATCAGGGGACCTCCCTTAGGAGATCAATCCCCTGTCCTCCTGCTCTTTGCTCTGTGAGAAAGATCCACCTACAACCTCGGGTCCTCAGACCGACCAGCCCAAGGAACATCTCACCAATTTTAAATCCAGTAAGTGGCCTCTTTTTTACTCTCTTCTCCAACCTCCCTCACTATCCCTCAACCTCTTTCTCCTTTCAATCTTGGCGCCACCCTTCAATCTCTCCCTTCTCTTAATTTCAATTCCTTTCATTTCTTGTAGAGACAAAGGAGACACATTTTATCCATTGACCCAAAACTCCGGCGCTGGTCACGGACTTGGGAAGGCAGCCTTCCCTTGGTGTTTAATCATTTATGGGGACGCCTCTCTGATTATTCATCCATGTTCCACTGATGTCTGATCTCCGTGGGGAAGCCTGCCTTGGTCATTCACCCACGTTCCCTTGGTGGCAGGTCAATTGTGGGGACGCCTGCCTTGGCTGCTCCCCACAACCAATTCTCCATGCCTCTACCCTTCCCTTTAAACTTGCCTCCTTCACTATGGGCAACTTTCCACCCTCCATTCCTCCTTCTTCTCCCTTAGCCTATGTTCTCAGGAACTTAAAACCTCTTCAACTCTCGCCTGACCTAAAATCTAAGCGTCTTATTTTCTTCTGCAACACCACTTGGCCCCAGTACAAACTTGACAATGGCTCTAAATGACCAGAAAACGGCACTTTCGATTTCTCCATCCTACAAGATCTAAATAATTCTTGTCGTAAAATAGGCAAACGGTCTGAAGTGCCTGACGTCCAGGCTTTCTTTCATACATCCCTAGTCTGTTCCCAATGCAACTCATCCCAAATCTTCCTTCTTTCCCTCCCCTCAGTCCCAATCCCAAGCGTTGCTGAGTCTTTCCTCTTTCCAATCTTCCTTTTCTACAGACCCATCTGACCCCTCCGCTCCTCCCCAGGCTGCTCCTCGCCAGACCGAGCTAGGTCCCAATTCTTCATCAGCCTCCGCTCCTCTACCCAATAATCCTTTTATCACCTCCCCTCCTCACACCTGGTCTGACTTACAGTTTCGTTCCGTGACTAGCTCTCCCCCACCTGCCCAGCAATTTCCTCTTAAAAAGGTGGCTGGAGCTAAAGGCATAGTCAGGGTTAATGCTCCTTTTCTTTACCCGACCTCTCCCAAATCAGTTAGCGTTTAGGCTCTTTTTCATCAAATATAAAAATCCAGCCCAGTTCATGGCTCGTTCGGCAGCAACCCTGAGATGCTTTACAGCCCTAGACCCTGAAAGGTCAAAAGGTCATCTTATTCTCAATATACATTTTATTACCCAATCCGCTCCCGACATTAAATAAAACTCCAAAAATTAAATTCCGGCCCTCAAACCCCACAGCAGGACTTAATTGTACACCTCGCCTTCAAGGTGTACAATAATAAAGTAGAGGCAGCCAAGTAGCAATGTATTTCTGAGTTGCAATTCCTTGCATCCACTGTGAGACAAACCCCCGCCATATCTCCAGCACGCAAGAACTGGAACGCCTGAACCGCAGCTGCCAGGGTTTCCTCCAGGCCCGTTTACCCGAGAAGCTTGCTACAAGTGCCAGAAATCTGGCCACCGGGCCAAGGAATGCCCGCAACCCAGGATTCCTCCTAAGCCGTGTCCCATCTGTGCAGGACCCCACTGAAAATCAGACTGTTCAACTCACCTGGCTGCCACTCCCAGAGCCCCTGGAACTCTGGCCCAAGGCTCTCTGACTCCTTCCCAAATCTTCTCGGCTTAGCGCTTGAAGACTGACGCTGCCCGATCACCTCAGAAGCCTCCTGGACCATCACGGATGCTGAGCTTCGGGTAACTCACAGTGGAAGGTAAGTCCGTCCCCTTCTTCATCAATACGGAGGCTACCCACTCCACATTACCTTCTTTTCAAAGGCCTGTTTCCCTTGCCTCCATAACTGTTGTAGGTATTGACGGCCAGGCTTCTAAACCTCTTAAAACTCCCCAACTCTGGTGCCAACTTAGACAATACTCTTTTAAGTACTCCTTTTAGTTATCCCCACCTGCCCAGTTCCCTTATTAGGCCGAGACACTTTAAATTATCTGCTTCCCTGACTATTCCCTGACTATTCATTGCCGCCTTTTCCCCCAGTTCAAAGCCTCCTTCACATCCTCCCCTTGTATCTCCCCACCTTAACCCACAAGTATAAGATACCTCTACTCCCTCCTTAGTGACCGATCATGCACCCCTCACCATCCCATTAAAACCTAATCACCGTTACCCCACTCAATGCCAATATCTCATCCCACAGCATGCTTTAAAAGGATTAAAGTCTGTTATCACTCGCCTGCTACAGCATGGCCTTTTAAAGCCTATAACCTCCCCTTACAATTCCCCCATTTTACCTGTCCTAAAACCAGACAAGGCTTACAGGTTAGTTCAGGATCTGTGCCTTATCAACCAAATTGTTTTGCCTATCCACCCCTTGGTGCCAAACCCATATACTCTCCTATCTTCAACACCTCCCTCCACAACCCATTATTCTGTTCTGTATCTCAAACATGCTTTCTTTACTATTCCTTTGCACCCTTCATCCCAGCCTCTCTTCGCTTTCACTTGGACTGACCCTGACACCCATCAGGCTCAGCAAATTACCTGGGCTGTACTGCCGCAAAGCTTCACAGACAGCCCCCATTACTTCAGTCAAGCCCAAATTTCTTCCTCATCTGTTACCTATCTTGTCATAATTCTCATAAAAACACACGTGCTCTCCCTGCCAATTGTGTCCAACTGATCTCTCAAACCCAAGCACCTTCTACAAAACAACTCCTTTCCTTCCTAGGCATGGTTAGATACTTTCAACTTTAGATACCTGGTTTTGCCATCCTAACAAAACCGTTATATAAACTCACAAAAGGAAACCTAGCTGACCCCGTAGATCCTAAATCCTTTCCCCACTCCTCTTCCACTTCCTTGAAGACAGCTTTAGAGACTGCCGCCACCCTAGCTCTCCCTGACTCATCCTGACCCTTTTCATTACCCACAGCTGAAGTGCAGGGCTGTGCAGTCGGAATTCTTACACAAGAGCCAGGACCGCGTCCTGTAGCCTTTCTGTCCAAACAACTTGACCTTACTGTTTTAGCCCAGCCCTCATGTCTGCATGCAGCGGCTGCCACTGCCTTAATACTTTTAGAGGCCCTCAAAATCACAAACTATGCTCAACTCATTCTCTGCAGTTCTCATAACTTCCAAAATCTACTTTCTTCCTCATACCTGACGCATATACTTTCTGCTCCCCGGCTTCTTCAGCTATACTTACTCTTTGTTGAGTCTCCCACAATTACCATTGTTCCTGGCCTGGACTTCAATCCAGCCTCCCACATTATTCCAGATACCACACCTGACCCTCATGACTGTATCTCTCTGATCCACCTGACATTCACCCCATTTCCCCATATTTCCTTCTTCCCTGTTCCTCACCTTGATCACATTTAGTTTATTGATGGCAGTTCCACCAGGCCTAATCCCCACACACCAGGAAAGGCAGGCTATACTATAGTACAAGCCACCAGCCCTCCTCTTAGAACCTCTCATTTCCTTTCCGTTGTAGAAATCTATCCTCAAGGAAATCACCTCTCAGTGTTCCATCTGCTATTCTACTACTCCTCAGGGATTATTCAGGCCCCCTCCCTTCCCTACACATCAAGCACGGGGATTGGCCCCCGCCTAGGACTGGCAACTCTTAAGTCCCTCTTAGAGTGGATAGATGATCTTTGCTGGCAGAAGACCCTTCAATACTTTCACCCTGATGAAGTTCTATTCTTTCCCATTCTTAGGGCACCCTCTACCTCTCCCCAGCTATCTCCACCACACTATCAACCTTACCCATTCTCTCCTAGCCGCTTCTAATCCCTCCTTAGCGAACATCCGCTGGCTTTGCATTTCCCTTTCTTCCAGCGCCTACACAGCTGTACCCGCTTACATGCAGACCGGGCAACATCTCTTGTCTCCCTACACTTCTGAACTTCCTTTAACAGCCCTCACCTTTACCCTCCTGAAGAACTCATTTACTTTCTAGACAGGTCCAGCAAGACCTCCCCAGACATTTCACATCAGCAAGCCACCGCCCTCCTCCGCACTTACTTAAAAAACCCTTCTCATTATATCAACTCTACTCCGCCCATATTTGGACCTCTCACGACACAAACTACTATTCCTGTGGCCACTCCGTTATGTATCTCTCAGCAAAGACCCACTGGAATTCCCCTGGGTAACCTTTCACCTTCTCGATGTTCCTTTCCTCCTCATCTCCAAAGCCCAACTACACACATCACAGAAACAATTAGAGCCTTCCAGTTCCGTATAACAGACAAGCCCTCTATCAATACTGGCACACTTAAAAACCAGTAGTTATTGCTAGGAAGACACCCTGTATTTCACTCCATCCTTGGCTACCTTCCCCTTGCTCATCAGACTCTCCTCCCATGCCCTCTTCTTGTTTACTTATACACAGCCCCGTAAATAACAGAGGTTGCTCGTAGACACTCGAACAAAACCGTATCCAGGCCATCACCAATAATTCTACAGGACTATTCCACAATATCACCCCTTACCACAAAATCATCCTTCAGCTTAATCTCTCCCACTCTAGGTTTCCACGCCACCCCTAATCCTGCTTGAAGCAGCCCTGAGAAACATCGCCCATTATCTCTCCATACCACCCCCAAAAATTTTCGCCGCCCCAATACTTTACCACTATTTCGTTCTATTTTTCTTATTAATATAAGAAGACAGGAATGTCAGGCCTCTGAGCCCAAGCTAAGCCATCATATTCGCTGTGACCTGCAGGTACACATCCATCTGGCCGGTTTCTGCCTTAACTGATGACATTACTTTGTGAAATTCCTTCTCCTGGCTCATCCTGGCTCAAAAGCTCCCCTGCTGAGCACCTTGTGACCCCCACCCCTGCCCACCAGAGAACAGCCCCCCTTTTTCCTTTACCTACCCAAATCCTATAAAACGGCCCCACCCCCATCTCCCTTCGCTGATTCTCTTTTTGGACTCAGCCCACCTGCACCCAGGTGAAATAAACGGCCTTGTTGCTCACACAAAGCCTGTTTGGTGTCCCTTCACAGGTACGTGCATGAAAAGAGGAGCCTCAGGGGATGTGACAATGGGCGAAGGAGAGGGGGCTCAGGGGAGAGGGATCGGGGAGCAGGGCCCTCCTGGGCATCCTTGGGATGGGGAAGGTGGCACCCCATGTGCTCTCCCACATCCCCTCTCCTCTCTCGGATGCACCTCTTTCCTTTCTCTGGTTCATTTAAACGTTGGCTTTTCCCAGTTGCCATCTCCTTTAGCTGACCCTGTCCTTTTTGGTGTAATGATGAGTCCCAAAGGAAGGGGGCTCAGCCATCCTAATGGAGCCATTGTCTACCCCAGGGAGGCTGTAGGCTCTCTGCTTACAGAGCCACCTTCCCATGGGGAGCAAGACCCTCTAGCCTCTGAGCTCCATGGAGGTACCCAAGGCGGCACCAGCCCAGGAGGGCAGTGGAGCCCCTGCAGGCAGGTGACCCGATCCTCTCCAGCTTGCACCTCCCTGAGGGCTCCCACGAGGCTCCCATGTGTTCAGGAGTCTCCAACCACCAGGACATGATGCCCAGGTATGTGTCCCTCCCCTGGCTGCCCACCTCCTCCCACACAGTCGGGCTCTGCAGTCTTTCAATCAACTCTTCCCTGCCAGTCAGCCCACCGTGGTTTCTCCCTGTTTGGAACTAATAACAAACACTCTTGTCACTCTTGCTGTGCTAAATCATAGACCTCTATTTTAATGAACAGTGTTCTGTGTCCTCCATCAGCCTAAAGCCCTTGGGGGCTGGGAGGATGGAGCAGGCTGGAGTCTTGAGGATGAGCCCCAGCCCCACAGAAGCTGAGCTCTGCTGTCTGTAACTGTCCTCCCTGCTCCACCCCTCAGTGACTAGACTTTGGACGTGGGACTCAGGTCTCCGGAAACTCAACGTCCTTCTCTGTAAAACAGACCTCAAAAATTTTAAATGAGCGTTACTGTGCATGTAAAGCACGTAGAATAATGTGTGACCCAGATTAAGTGCCTGGGAAATATTAGCTGCTAATGGCACTGTTGTTATCATCAGTAATCATGGCTGTGGAATAGAGACAAGTGGTGAAGCTTGGCTCACAGGCCCTGCTTAACTAATGGACAGTCATATTAACCATATTTGAAAATTCCAAACATGGTATTGGGAACCTATAGGCTTAAATACTTATCAGTTACATATTACAATTTCACCTAACATGTTTTAGTAGGAAGTAGGGTGGCAGAAGCTATTATATAAATGTATATCGTACATTGCATACATTGTATAAACATACATTGTGATTGCATGTACATTGCATAATGTATGCTGTACATTGTATATATGTTGTGTAAACATATCACAATTGTATATACATTTTATACATATGTTATAGAAATATATAGCATACATTGTATATACATTGTATACATGTATAGTGTATAAATGTATATCATACATTGTATTTACATTGTATAAATGCATAAATGTATTGTTAAGCATCTACAAAGCCTCTAGTGCCTCATTAAGGAAGGATTTTCTGAAAGTTTTTTTTTCCATGTGTAATGACAATGAGTGACCTCTCGCTCTTTTTCTGGCCGTCAGCACCTCTTTCACAGACCCAGGACACGAAGAAAGCCAGAAGGTTTGGGGATGGCTGGATCTGCAGGACTGTTTTTCCTTCCCTAAAAGAGCACCTTGCCTTCCTGCATGGACCACAGGATGGTGTGTGTGGCCACAAAACCCAGAAGGTGAGGTGCTGAAAGAAAGCAAGCTGCTGGGATCATTCCTGCTTCAAAGCAGGTGATGTGGCCACAGGCGCATGGGAAGAATGGTCCCAGAGACACAGGCAGCCAGCTGGGGTGGAAGGGCGTCCTGGGGACCCACCCCCTGGAGGGCTTCACAGAGAACAGAACCGCCTGGGGTGAGCTGGTGGAAAACAACAGAACTTCACACAGCCCCAACGATCCATTACCAGGACCCAGAACCTCAGCTTCAACGAGGCTCTGCTTGTCCCCAGTGACTGAAGCCTCCCAGGGCACTTAGCTGACCTGGGGATGATGGAGGGGAGTTGGGGCTTTCATGCTGGCCTTCCAGGGAAGCCTTAGGGCTGGCCCAAGTCTGGAGGAAAAGCTGCATGTAGGAGTGACACCATCTTAAAGCCCATTCTTTGGAAGCCATCATGATGAAAAATGGCACACACTGTTCTTCAATCTCACCTCCCTCCAGCCTTCTCAAGCAAAGCAACAACAACACACTCATCACCACTTCTAAGACACGAGAACTAACTTCAAACAAGCCAATTGTGAAATCCTGATTTTTCTCCTTAAGTAAGTTATGGAATTATTGAAAACCATTAGGAAGGAAGGGCTGATTCCTACCTAACTGGTCTCTCTTCAGTCTTCTCCCTGAGTTACACACTGAGACCTTTGCCACGACAGAAATGACGTTCGTTTTAACCCCGGATTCCTGGGCTTTATGGTCAGGAGGGTTCTTCTAGGGCCCCCACTCACAGCAAGCCCTTTGTAATTTTACACGTAAGTGAAATCAACAGTGACTGTCTGCACAGGGGGTTAAAAGAGTTCCTGTCAGCAAAAGGGCAGAGACGTGAAACCGAACTCAGGACACTGCAAAGATGCTTGGCTCCTGGCCCACTTGTGATTATCCCTCCTCCATTCGATTTATTCACAAAGTGAGTGAGACTGAATGGCTGGTTTCTAGCCAGAGGGGACTTCAATATTTGAGTGAGGGAGACAGGAAAAGACCCAAAAATCGTTAGTGTCCCCACCCTAGGACACTGGCATATCCGTGACCTCTCTGAGTGCTCTGAGAAAAATGAGGGAGGTTGGTGGGCACAGTGGCAGACAGGTGGCTGCTGGAGTCTCCCTCTTCCCACGGGACCCTCCTGTCCCTGGCACCACAATCTCACCTCCTTTCTCACTTTTCAGTTGCAAGGAGGGATGCATGGTTTTTTTAGCAAATAAAATATAAGACATCTGGTTAAATTTGAATTTCAGATAAATAATTACAATTTTTAAATGTAAGCTTGTCACTGTATTTTATCTGGTAACCCCTTGCAAGGAGCCTGCAGACCCCAAGCAAATGTCTTCCCTTAATCTAGAAAACACCTTCACCCAGGATGGGAGCGACATGAGCCATCAGGCCTTTTATTTGCTTTTAATATACTTTGGTGTGGGCATAAGTATCTTAAATAATTGAACCTGTAATTGCACCATAAAAACAATGATGCTAATACAAATAACAGCCAACAAGCATGGAGCGCGTACTCTATTGTTGTAGACACACGAGCCCCAGAAAAACTCTGTGCAGAGGAGAAAACTGAGCCACAGACATGTTAGCAACTTGCTGAATTAAAGACCTTTTGGTAGGTCTCTGAAACGCTCACACAGGACAAGCAGGTTTTTCCTACGTTTGCACAAAGCTCTGCTGACTGTAAGTCTTTCTCTCTGGTGTAGATCTATATACACACATATGTGCATGTGCATCCTGCACAAATAGTGTGTGTGAGAGAGGAAGTAACAGAGAGAGAGACAGACAGAGAGAGAAGGAGAAAAAAATCACCCTGGACTTAGCTCTGGGCATCAAAGAAGTGGCTTCATCTTGACTTGCTGCCTCAACTGATTGAAGCAATCCCAATAATTGGTCATGATTTTTCTGCAAGGATTCAGCTGCGTATTTCTTGGTGTGGGGACAGAGGATGAACCCCTCAGGCTTTCCTCTCACTATGGTGTCTCTGGTGGGAACAGCTGGGGATGCAAAGCCATTATGATGTCGGATAGGAGAGAAACCTGCTGTGCCCTCAGCCCTTGAGGATTGCTTGGTGAGAATGCGGAGCCAGGTCCATCCCAGGAGGAAAAGGCCCAAACTCTAGGCAGCTTCTCCCAGGGACTTCACAGACACTTTTTATGTCTTGAATACCTGCATTCCCAGACCCAAACCCACAGTTCCCAGTTCAAACACCTGGTTCTAGTGCCTTTTCCGCTGCCCAGGGATGCCCCAGGTGCCACCGCTCCCAGTCTCTCCAAGTCTTTACGCAAATATAAAGAACTTCTCACTGGCAGGGAATAATTCTTACAAGGCTGTGTGGCAAATGGAAAGTTTTTTTTTTTCAGCAAAACAAAGATTCTTTTAACATTTGTAGAAAGTCATTCAAGGAACTGTTTCTGAAGGCACTACTTTGGAGTTTGGACTGAGTGTGGGAGAGTGCGGGGTGAGGGTGTGTGGACAACAGGGTGTCTTTGCCTGACATGAAAATTTAAAAAACAAAGAAATAAAGGGGGTACTTGAGGGTGAAAGATAAACTCACAAACAAGTCAATAAACTTCCTTTTCAGAGTTACTGAGCACACAGGTGACTTTTACTGATTTATTTATTTTTACTGGCATTATAGTTTACTTTATTCTCCTTTCTAAATAGTTTTCACAGAAAGAAAATGCTGAAAAGCATTCCTTTATGGTTGCGTTTTTGCTTAGGAATTCTTTTGATGCTAGGGGTGGGGAGCAAACTGAAGAGAGATGTAGGTTTTGTGATTTTATCATTTTTTATGATGATGCCTCCAGGTAGCACATATTTATATCCTGACACAGTCTTGTTCTTACTTCTGAGTACCCAGTTAACCTAGAGGAGTCTTGAGTGGACTGCAGATGAGGAGAGCATGAGGGGTTTGCAATGAGCCAGGCAGGTGCACCTGAGCAGGCACTGCCCCTATCAGCTGATACTCATGGAGAGGAGACTGGCCTGCAAACCCTCTGCCAGTACTGTAAACCCTACATGTTTAGGTCTGGTGTGAGTTCTAAGGAATCTGATAAATGCCTGCCTTTGTCACTCTGGCTGACTCGGATCCCATGAAGCTGATGGGTTAGATGAGTCTGATCCTGAGAAACACCCCCGGGTGCAGGAAATAGTGAAAATCAGATACGAAGAAGCCACACCTGTGATTTTAATCTTTATGAAAATATCATGCTTCTGAACTTCCTCTTTCAAAATTCGGATGACACACAAGTCTATCGTACGTCATCTTTACCACTGGAGGGTGGCTTCACGTGTTTATAAGGAAGCTGATATTGTGAATCCCAACCTCCACCACAACGCTCACCCTTACAGACACACTATTGCAGGTCTCCGAGGGCCTTTGGGAGGCCCTGCTTCCTGCGAGCTGTCCCGGCAGGACAGAGACTCTTCCCGCCGCGGCCCTGCCATTCCAGGCTGAGGCTGTGAGCAGCACCATGACAAGCTCCAGCCGCAGTGGCTCTCAACAGTGTGGGTCTCTGACCACCCGACGAGCTGGAAGTGCAGACCGCTGACCTCCCTTGAGAACCTACTGGGTTCTTGCAGTAGGCTCCTCAGCGGTGTCTAAACACGCCACTCAGATGATTCTATGCACCATCACATTGGAAACTTTTTTCATTGACTGTTACTTAATGAGAAGACTTCCCTCCGGGATGGTTCTGAAGCTTCCTTCATAGGAGCAAGCCTTTGGCGGAGAGCACTGAGCAGACGTGCAGCATCTTTGCTGGCTTCTACCGAAACACCATGGATCCAGACGTGGTTTTGTGGTCCTGCACGTGGAAGCCAGCCCTGCGTGGGGTGAGCCTGGGACTGTGGGCAGAGAACCTCAAGCACCGGGCCGGCACCCAAGTGCAGAGACTGCATCGTCCCAGCAGGAGGCGCTGCTTCCAGGCTCCCTGGACGGACTCCGGGAGGGCGGCCTTTCCCCCCAGCCCCAGAGGTGGGCCTGCCCTTTTCCGAGCGTGGGACACAGCCCAGGAAAACGCATGGCTTGTCCTCCAGACACAGGTGCTAACAGGGCCGTCAGACAAGGGCCAGGGACTCAGGCTTTTAGGAATTTCAGCTCCAGAGCCACCATGCAGTGGGACCAGGGGTCTGCGTGGACAGGAAGCAAGCTGTGTAGACGGGGGTCCATGAAGTAGAGACAGGGTTTTGGGGAAGGTTGGGGCAGGGCAAGGAGGAAAAGCCACATTTACAGCAATTTCTGAAGTCTTTTCATTTTTTCCCCCTGAATCACATCCATAATAGGATTTGAATTTAATAAACTGCTGAAGGTTCCTGGCCCTGAGTCCCAGTGTCCTCCCAGCCCCCGCCCAGCTGTGGGTGTGCATGGGGAGCGGTACGAGGGAGGGTAAAATGGGCCCCTTGGACGCCGCGTGCAGAGCAGAGATGAATGGCCCGAAACCCTCGCGCTGCTCTGCGCCCTTCGTCATCCAGTCGGGGTGGTTAGGGACTGTCAGAGAAAAATAATTTAGCGGCCATGGCTCTAACTGATGTGCTGCATTCTGGGGTCAAATGACTTTTACAAAGTAGTAGTGCTGCCTGGTTTCTCCATCGTGAGAGCTCAGGGCTGACAACATGAAAGAAAAAGGCACTGCAGCCAGAATTCACTGACATTCTTCACATTTCACATGAGTGGGACGCAGGAGGGGGGCTGGGGAGGGTGGAGGGATGTTTCCTGCTTAACAGATTCAACAGAAGAGTGGCAGGCTCAGCTGGGTGAGCAAGGTATCCCAGCGACGGGGGACACGCCCCAGACCATGGGTGGTGGGGCTTCTCAGAGGAGGTGGCAGGAGACCCGAGCCTGCCAAGGTTGCACCTAAGGTCACGGGCAGCATTAGGAGGGCTCTCTCCCAGTCTCCCCACCCCCCCATCCCCCCTCCCCCAGGCTGCAGGGGTGAAGTGGCTTCCAGGACGGTCACTGGCAAGTTTAAGCTACAGAGAGTGTAGAAACAGGGTGAAAAAGGAAGAGAGAAGGGAGTAAATAAGAAGGAGGTGTAAGAAAAGACCAAGCCAGGCCCCAGCGCCCTTGTGAGGAAGTGCCCAGGGACTTATGTGGAAGCCATCCTTGCTGTCTGCCACCTTGTTTTTACTTACATTGTGTTTTTATTTGAGGGCGAGTTTGGACGGCAAGACTGATGGAGATTGTGGTCTAAATGCCTCTAACCCACTCCTTAAAATGACCACCGGATGTTCCACAAGTACTTGAAAATGAATGAATGGCTTCCCGAGAGGCAGAAGGCAGGGGTGTGCCCTACCCCACGCCGGCCAAGAGTTCAACAAGCATTGGTTGACAAGTGAATAGTGAGCACTTGAACCCAGTCACAATTCAAGATGAGGGCTCTGCCATGACGCATGTGGTCTGTGTCACCCTGCAGTCTCCCTGAGCAGTGTCTGAGGTTCGAGTGGGACCCTACATTCGTGAAGAGATTTATCATCTCCCCAGGCAAAATAACAGATTCTGTCCTAGGTGTTGTGATGTAACAATGGTAGCGATCACAGCCATAACTTACAATTATTGCATACTTACGACGAGTCCCGCACTGGGCTAAGTGCTTTTTAACTATGTGAAATGTTTCTTTCCTTGATTGATGCCAAAATGAATAAAGATAATTTTCTGTATCTGCTACATTAGTGATGCCCACAGATAATTCTGAACATGATAAGAGAAAAGATAATTTGCATAAATCAGCCATTGCAAGACTTGGCAGGATAAGATTGTTTTAAAATGGTATCAGAATAGTTTCTGACAGATAGGAGGCAGGAAAATAGGGTCTGGAGGCAGGAACATAAGGCCGGTGCACACTGACTTCCTAGAGCTGAATCAAATGGAAATACTTCAGCGATGACAGGAAATGTCCTCTCCATTTACACAGGGCCTACGCCGAGTAACCAATGGAAATCTCTAGAGGGTATTTAAACCCCAGAAACTTCAGTAACGGGCTCTTGGGCCCCTGTGCTCAGGTGCTCCCACCCCGTGGAGTGTGCTTTCATTTCCCAGAAATATCTGCTTTTGTTGCTTCGTTCTTTCCTTGCTGTGTGGGTTTTGTCCAGTTCTTTGCTCAAGGCGCCAAGAACCTGGACACCTCCAACCGGTAACGCCCAGACAGTTGAGAACATGTCTGGAGTGAGTGAAGGTAATCGCAGGTTAGAAGGCGGACCCACAGCTGCGCAGGAAGGAACCGGAGGGGTCCTGCCGGGCAGAGTGAGGCCCAGCTCCCCACTCTCGCTCCGGCCTCCTCGGCCTCCCAGCGCGATTCTCCCTTGGACCAGGGACCCCGTCTGGATCCTGCCGGGCTGGCGGCCTCTCCGGCTGCTCCCAGGCACAGGGCGCCTCCCTGGTGGAAAACTTGACCCCAATTTTACCCGGCACGACCATCCGACCCTACGCGTGGAGACCCAGTCACGGACGAAACCTGGCACGGGGGACCCGTCCCTCCCCCTGCAGACAGAGGCGCCCTGGCCGCTCCCCACCCGGCCTCGCTGTCTCCTCCCGGGCAGCCGCATTGTCACCCTCAAAACCGCCGGCAGCACCTGTTCTCCCATCAATCACCTCACCAGGCCGGGAGACATTCTTTCCCCTCCCGCTCCACGCGGCCTCTCCTTCTCCGAGAAGCCTGGACGCCACTCCCAACAGGGAAAGGTCGGGGTCTCCCCCGCGCCCCCAGCGCCGCCCGTTCCCCCTGCACCCGCCGCGCCCCTCACCTGCGGCATTGGCGTCCTCCTGGCCCTGCCGGGCGCGTGGCCGGGCATCTGGATGTCGAACAGCTCCTGCAGTGCGGCCTGCGCGGCCTGACCCCGGGCCAGCTTCTTGCTGCGCCCCGAGCCCTCGAACGTCCTGCCGTCCACGCTCACGGCCATCACGAAGCTCCGCGCGCGCCGCTCGGCCGGTTCTGCCAGACACACGTAGCGCAGCCCGGCGCGCAGGCGGTTCAGCAGCACCACGGGGTTGCGCTCGCCCGGGGCCGCGGGGGTGGCGGGGGTCGGGCCCACCAGGTCCAGCGCGCGGCACAGCAGCCGCCGTCGCCCGTAGGCCGCGGACAGAAGCGCGGCGTCCCCGGGGCGGCCTCCCGCGAGTCCGGGGCGCGGCGCCGGGGGCTCGAACTCCTGGAAGAGCGTGTCGGGGAAATCGGCCTGGTCGGAGGTGAAGTCCGTGCCGGGGCCCGGGCCCCCGCCCATGGCCAGGTGCGCCTGGCAGGCGTTGGGGAACTGCACGAAGGACCTGAGTGCCAGCTCCGCCGCGCGCATCTTGGCCTTCTTCTTGGTGGGGCCTGTGCCCTCGAACGTGAGCCCGTTCACCTCCACCGCTACCGCGAAGACCGGGGCATGCACCGGGCCCGTCTGCGACACTGTCCGGTACTGCAGGCCCGGCCTCAGCTCGTGCAGCTGCACCAGCGCGTTCTTGGGCGCCACCGACCACGACAGCTTCTTCCAGACCAGCTGCAGTTTGCACAAGTGGCCCCCATTCCCCTCCTCCAGCGGCCGCTTCCTCTTCGCGCCGGGCGCGCCGCCCCGGGCCCGGTCCCCGGAGGGCGGTGGCCGCGCGGCCAGGTTGCCCACGTTGCGGTTCTCCTTCACCTCCGCGCTGCTGGTACCTGGAGGGGAGAACAGACCAGTCAGGAGCCTGGGCGGGCGCCGGCAGGTCGATGGGCACAGCAGGCACTCCCTGAGGGTCCCCGTCCCAGCGACCTCGCCGCCCGCGCCCCCAGGTCAGGCCTGAGAAATGACTGTGGCCGCCAGAGAGAGGGAGCCCCTGGGAGCCTATGGCCCATGCGGGGAAGTAGCGTCCTTGGTCCCTTGCTGAGGGCCTGTGGCTAGGAGCTGTCGTCTTCTGGGCTGGCTCCTGTTTTAAGTGAGGCTGTGTCTCACAAACAGACAAGCGCCCCTGACTTTGTACAAGTTTTGGGCAATGTCAAAGGTCAGAGAGGCCTTTCCCGGGGTGGTGTGGTCTAGTGTCCCCCTTCCCACCTGCTACAGGGACCTCCAGGCCCGGTGCCCAATGCCCCCCCAATACTGAGGGTCAGGGGGTCCGGCCCCCAAACTCTACTTCCTCACTCACAGCTAGAGGCAGACAGGTGGTGTCTCCTGAGAACTCCCTGGAGGAAACCCTAGGAGCTGGCCCAGGTGAGGCACTGCGGCCTTGGGGTGAGTCCCTGGCCTTTCTCCTGGAGAAGGGGCACACCTATTCAGTAAATACGGTTGGTCCTCTGTATTCCTGAGTTCCCCATCTAGGGATTCAACTAACTGTGGAGAGAAAGTATTCGGGAAAAAATGGATGAATCACTACGGAACGTGTACAGACATTTTTCTTGTTATTAGTCCCTAAACAATACAGTATAACAATGATTTGCATAGCGTTTACACTGTATTAGGCAGTATGCGTCATCCAGAGATGATTTAAAGTACAGGCATGCCTCCTTGTTCGGCTTCCCAGGTATCGTGTTATTCACTAATCCAAGGTTTGTGGCAACCCTGAGTTGAGCAACTCTATCAGCCCACTGATCCCACACCATGCGCTCACCTTATGCCTCTGTGTCACATTTTGGTAATTTTTTTTTTTTTTTTTTTGCGACGGAATCTCACTCTGTTGCCCAGGCTGGAGGGCAGTGGCGCGATCTTGGCCCACTGCAACCTCCGCCTCCCAGATTCAAGCGATTCTTCTGCCTCAGCCTCCTGAGTAGCTGGGATTACAGGCACCCACCACCACGCCTGGCTAATTTTTGTATTTTTTTAGAGATGGGATTTCACCGTGTTGGCTAGGCTGGTCTCGAACTCCTGACCTCAGGTGATCTGCCTGCCTCCGTCTCCCAAAGTGCTGGGATTACGGATGAGAGCCACCGCGCCTGGCCACATTTTGGTAATTCTCAAAATATTTCAAACTTTCCCATTATTATATCTGTTATGGTGCCCTCTGATGCCTGATCTTTGATGTTACTATGGTGATTGTCTTGGAGTGTCATGGATCGCACCCACTTAAGACGGCAAACTTAGGAACTGTTGTGAGTGTTCCCACCGCTCCACGGACCGGCCGTTCCCTCATCTCTCTCCCTCTGCTCAGGCCTCCCTGAGAAGCCCCAATATTGAAATTAGGCCACTGAATAACCCTGCAGTTGCCCCTAAGTGTTTAGTGAAAGGAAGAGTCACTCCTCTCTCACTTTAAATCAAATGTAGGGAGAAGGCATGATGATGGCCAAGATGGGTCAAAATCTGGTCCCTTGCAGGAACCCAGGCCACTTGCTTGGTTTCTGCCCCTGGGAGTCTTACCACCTTCATCAGACTGGCAAGCACTTTAAAAAGACCTGTAATGTCGCAGTGTTTTCAGGTAGGTACCATAGGTCGGTGGTCAGGAGCACAAGCACAGCTCCTTTGGAAAGCATTTTGGGAGCTTCGGGCAAGAATAAAGAAACACACACCTTACTCAGCAATTCTGCCACTGGAGATGCATCCTAGAGAAACCTTCATACACAGAGGCAGAACTGAACAAAGGTGTGCACTGCAGCATGCTTTCACAAAACTGAAAACTTTGAAAATGCCCAAGTTTCTATGGTTAGAGGAATGATGAGTCATCAGTGAAATAATCACACTACAGAATACTATATAGCAGTTGCATGTAATGGACTATGTCTGTATGCTTCAATGTAGATGAATCTCAAGAAATAGGATGCCAGATAATAAAATTGACTTGCAAAGTAACCCATAGGATAGGATATTATTATAAGAACACCGACGTTCTATATTCTTCATGCAGCCATGCGTCTGTGACAAGGCTGCTGATGCGTGGGTAATAAAGATCCAGTCCAGTCTCCCCTGGAGAGTGTAGGAGGGAAGTGCAATGAGGGGCTGGGGGGTGACTTCACGTGTGACTTCAGTGCTTTATTTCTTTTGCAGAAAATGCTCTGAAGTCCATTTAGCAAAATCATCATTTGCCAGCTGGGGTGATGAATGCATTTGATGATGATTTAATTTTTCTGGACTGACCATCCTGGACCACTGTTTTCTGGCAAAGCTGTTCCATTAGGGAATCTCAGCCATGGATGGCCCCACGACCTGCTGGGTCCATACTACCCTCGCTGGTGAATGTGCTTCTGGAAGGCTCCATGAGGGTTTACTACAAAATACTCTGAGAATTATGGTAGTGAGCTGTGCCCTTGCCCCACCCTGAGGCTTGGCTCATGCAGAACCTGGACTTTGCTGCTTCCCATTGCCCCAGTCAGCCCTGGGGAGGGTATTAATGTCCGATTTTCTCAGTGGGGAAGTTCCTTTACTGAGGTTGCAGAGTTTATTAGTTGGTCGCAGTGCAGTTCAGTCCTAGGCATCGGATCACCCTCGTCTGTGTTGTTGCTGTAAAGGTGATTTTATGGAAACTGATTACTTCCATCATTGTCTTGGCCTATGTACAGTAACACCCTTTTCTGGGCCCTCTGGAAGAGGAAGATGAAGCTGAGCCCACAGGCTGCCCCACGTGTGACCGGATGGTGAGCTGTCCCAGGCAAGAACACACAGGCTTCCCTTCACTCATTGGCTTTGTCCGTGGGGACAGGCTCTTCTGCCAGGTGTGGATGAGTTTTTTCTCATTAAGCAAGTGGAAACTTGAGGCAATTTTTACAGCTAACCCACAACTTAGAAATAGAGGTTGAGTGCGGCTGGATGTTGACACGTGCATCTGCTGGCCATGTGGCCCGAAAGTCAAGCAGGAATGAGGCCTGGCTGGCCCAGCCCCACGCTCCCCGCCCCTCAGCTTATGACATCGTTGTTGGAGAATAATAAAAACATACATTTCATAGGCACAAAAGATGCCCTTGAAAATCAGGCACCTTTGCGAGGTATCCTGACATTGGAGAATGTTCTTCTCACGTTGCGCGCTGCCTGCCCGTTCAGCTCGGGGTGAAAACATCCGGCTCTTGGCCTCAGCTATCACCACCACCTGGGTTCTCCTGCCGAAGGCTCTGGGCTCTGCTTTGAAAGTGCTCTCTGTTTGCTAAAATCTCTATTTCTCATTTGAATTTTTTGAATTGTGAGGTGGCTCTGTTGTTTTCTCTGGCAATTATGTCTAAAAAAGTATTAGGTTTGGGGAGGTAATTTTGTTCAAAATGTGGATCTGAGAGCTTGATTAGTTATAGGTGCACAACATTCATTTACAGTTGATGGCGGCAGAAACCGTTACCTTCTGAGGAGAAAGGGCTGAGTGCAAATGCTTTTGTTAATCATTATGCACTTTGGGTATACATATAGCACTGCTCTACTGTTGAGTGTGTTTCAGGCCAAGGGTAAGCAGATGAGATTAACCATGGGATTTTCCAAATTGAACTTAAAGATGGAGCAAAAAACCCAACAAGATCAACCCCCCAACCCCATACCAGATTGCATAGAGATTTGCCTGGTACTCTGTAATTTCTTATTGATTTCTCGCAAGGTGGGGATGGACGAGACTGTCAGTGTGATTACAGTGGCTGGCGTTATTGCATGACCTTTGCTGGATCTCAGATCAGAACTCACAGCAACGCTTTGCCGCTAGCTGCGCTGAATGCCTCTTCCTGACTCAATGTCCTACGACTCTCAGAATTAAAGTTTTCCATGGTATAAACCATGAATGTCAGATTGTGGTATAAGAGCCTCTTTCATAATAATCAATAATTGATAATAAGAGCATACTTCAGGGGCCTGTCCTGGACACACCAGCTGGGCCCTCTGGGGGGTGATATCACCTGATTAGGGTTTGGAATCCTCTGCACAGGCCCCGATTCCCATTTCCCTGACGTGGGAGCCCAGCACAGAGGCCACAGCCCAGCGGTGGCCTCTGCATGGAGCTGTGGGGAACGGGGGCGCAGGGGACACTCGGGCTCTGCTCCATCGTCCAGGGGTACGTGACCCTGGGCAAGTCACTCAGTCTGGCCAACTGATTTTTTAAGGCAGAAAATGAAGATTTAAAAAATATTTGCCTTACAAGTTTCTTACAGGGACAAACGGAGGCAGCACATCAATGGGCTGAGTGAGAGTCGGCCGTGAGGGAACATGGGACGCATTTTGAAAACACAGCAGGGAAATGGTGGGGCAGACACTTCTCATCCTCCTCTCAGCCGCATCTCGCCCACCTTGCTTCTCTCTGTCCGGGCCCTACTTCTCTCCCTGCTCATCTTTTTCCCTGAGCTTCTCCGTGCACTTTGCAGGAATTCCAGGGAACCTGAAAGAAGGGTTTCCAGGGCCTCATGTCTGCGAGTCGCGAGCTGTGGCTGGGGTTGCGTCTCCCTCCTTGAGAGGAGTTTTTGAGGGAGTTTTGCTCCCTCAGAAGGGCCGAGAGCAGCATTAGCTTTTCCACACACAACAAAGCCTCCTCTCTCTCTCTGGTTGGCAAGGCAAGAATTCGTTCTCACAAAACCTTCCAGAACCTACTGAGTCAGGTAACAGTGCAGGTGCCTGAGGCATACGAAGGGAAAAACAGGCTTTGCCTCTTTGGTCCCTCAGGCCCAAGTGGGAGAAGCCTTGACACTATGACCCTGTGACAGTCCTGGGGCCGGGCTGGGTGAGGGTGGGAGCCGAGCTCGCCCTGTGGCAGTCGTGGGGCCGGGCTGGGTGAGGGTGGGGGCCGAGCTTGCCCTGTGGTCCTGTGGCAGTCGTGGGGCTGGGCTGGGTGAGGGTGGGAGCTGGTCCTAGGGGAGTGGCGCTCTGGGCTCTGAGGCTGTTGGAAAATGGAGGAGCTCACGTCCAGGTGCCGCCCCTGGCGGCCTCTTGCTGTAGTGACTGCATGTGAACCACTCACAGCTTTAACGCCGACTTTACAAATTAACTTTTTTTCCTTCCACACGGAAGGTATTAAATGTGTTAGACTCCCCTCCCCGACCCAGGAAATTGGTCTCATTTTTTTCTCCATATAATCAACAGGTTTCTCACACTCAGTCATCGTATATAAAAACCTAGAGATAAAACATCAGGAGACCAGGAAAACACCTGCCTCTAAGTAGAAAGCTATTGATGGAAAGCTATTGTTGACGCACCTGCTTGGTGGGTCTTAGATCCGAATTCCTGCACTCACCAGGGTCTCTACTCAATAGGCCACACCCTGGGGGTGAGGGGACCTGGGGGACTATCGGCCTCCCCTCTTCATGCTGCCCTGTGGAAGTTACCCCCTGGATTGTGTCCCAAACCCCTCACTCTTTCTCTGTGCGCCCCAAGTCTGGGTGTTCCCGCTGGCCAGCAGGGAAGATGATAGCGGCTGTTACCCACACAAAAGGCAGTGGAAGGTGCAGGTGATCATTTGCTTGACTGTGGTAACTACTTCACTAAGTGTAAGTGTAACGAAACATCATGATGTACGCCTGAAATATACACAATAAAATACATTTTAAAAAGTCAGCCTGACTTAGGCTCACAAAGCCTGATTAGCCCACCAATGGCAGCTCTGCCCTTTTTCCGAGAGGGTGGGCATGGCCACGCCCCTCCTGAGTCATCCCCTCTGTCTCTGATCCCTAGAGCAGGCACACTGAGCTTTTCCCTGGCTCCCACTTTTTGTACTTTGTCCCTGTCTTCTCTCAGGAAGCTGTCTCCAAAGCTCGAGGCACAGATTGGTGAATGGACTCGTTGTCTCTGGGGCACAGAGGTGGATTCCAGTGGCTGGGTGCTGGCAGTGTGACCTGGCCCATCACGCGGTTCACAAATGGAACCTACCACATGGGCCTTGTTAGATCAATGGAGACAGTGCGTGTAACAGTTTTAGCATTCTCTGTCAAATGTTGCAGACACTCAGAATGCGTGATTTCAGCAACACATCAAAAAGATAATTCATCATGATCAAGGGGGTTTTATTCTAGAGATGCAAGGATGAATCCGCATCTACAAATCCATAAATGTGATTTACCACACAAACAGAACTAAAAACAAAAAACATAGGGTCATCTCGACAGATGTATAAAAGGCATTTGATAAAATCCAACATCCCTTCATGATAAAAACTGTCAACAAACTAGGCATTGTAGACACATACCTCAAAATAATAAAAGCCATCTATGACAAACCCACAGCCAACGTCACACTTAATGGGGAAAAGTTGAAAGCATTTCCCTAAGGACTGGAACAAGATGATGTCCACTCTCACTACTTCTACTTAAAATAGTACTGGAAGTCCTAACCAGAGAAATCAGGCAAGAGAAAGAAATAAAAGACATCCAAATTGGAAAAGAGGAAGTGAAACTATCTCTGTTCCCTGATGACATAAATGTGTGTATACCTAGGAAACCCTAAAGACTCCTCTAAAAGACTCCTAGACTTGATAAATGGCTTCAGTAAAGTTTCAGGATACAAAATCAATGTATAAAAATTAGTAGCATTTCTATACATCAATAATGTTTAAGCTGAGAAACAAATCAAGAACTCAATCCCATTTACAATAGCCACACACACAAAATAAAATACCTAGGAATACATTTAACCAAGGAGATGGAAGATAGCTACAAGGAGAGCTACAAAACACTGATGAAAGAAATTGTAGACACAAACCAATGGAAAACCATCCCATGCTCATGGATTGGAAGAATCAGTGTTGTTAAAATGTCCACATTGCCTAAAGCAGTCGGCAGATTCAATGCAATCTCTATCAAATTCCAACATTATTTTTCACAGAATTAGAAAAAACAATCCTAAAGTTCATATAAAACCAAAAACAGACCCTGAATAGCTAAAGCAGTCCTGAGAAAAAGAACAGATCCAGATGTATCACATTGCCTGACTTTAAATTATACTACAAGTCTATAGTAAGAACAGGATGGTATTGGTACGAAGATAGACACATAGACCCACGGAACAGAGAACCCGGAAAGAAAGTGGTCCGTCTCCAGCCATCTGGTCCTCAACAAAGCTGACAAAAATAAACAATGGGGAAAGGACATCCTAGTCAGTAAATGGTGCTGGGAAATTGGCTATCCATATGCAGAAGAATGAAACTGGACCCCTATCTCTCACCATATACAAAAATTAATTCGACGATGGATTAAAGACTTAAACATAGGACCTGAAACTATAAAAATCCTACAAGAAAACCTAGGAAAAACTTCTGGACATTGGCCTAGGCAAAAGATTTATGATGAAGGCCCCAAAAGGAAATGCACAAATCCAGAAACAGACAAAGTGGACTTAATTAAACTAACAAGCTTCTGCACAGCAAAAAATAAAATAAAGTAAAATAAAAAAGTAAACAGACAACCTACAAAATGGGATGAAATATTTGCAAATTATGCCTCTGACAAACGGCTAATATCCGGAATCTGCATGGAATTCAAATAACTTAGCAAGAAAAAACCAAACAACTCCACAAAAAATTGGGCAAAGGGCATGAACAGACATTTCTCAAAAGAAAAAATATAAGCAGCCAACAAACATATGATAAAATGCTCAACGTCACAGGGGAAATGCAAATTAAAATCACACTGAGATGTCATCTTACCCCAGTCAGAATGGCTATTATTAAAAAGTAAAAAAAAAAAAAAAAAAAAAAATCCAACATGTTTGTGTGGATGCAGAGAAAAGGGGATGCTTGTGCACTGTTGGTGGAAATGTAAACTAATTCCACTTCTATGGAAAACGGTACAGAGATTTCTTAAGGAACTAAGAATAGAACCACCATTTGACCCAGCAATTTTACTGCTGGGCATCTACCCAAAGGAAAAGAAAATCATTACATAAAAAAGACGCCTGTACGTGTATGTTCACCTCAGCACTATTGACAATAGCAAAGACATGTAACCAACCTAAATATCCATCAACAGTGGATGAATAAAGAAAATGTAGTACATATACACCATGGAATACCATGTATCCATAAAAAAGGGTAAAATTATGTCCTTTGCAGCAACATGAATGGAGCTGGAGGCCATTATCCTAAATGAACTAACTCAGAAACAGAAAAGCAAATACTGCATGTTCTCACTTATGAGTGGGGGCTAAACGATGGGTACACATGGACATAAAGAAGAAAACAACAGACACTGAGGACTTGAGAAGGGGGAGGGAGGAATGGGTAAGATTCGAACAATCAGCTATCAGTACAATGTTCACTATTTGGGTAATGGGTACACTAGCAGCCCAATCCCCACCAGGGTGCAGTATACCCACGGGACAAACACGCACATGTATCCCTAAGCCTAAAATAAAATTAAATTAAATTAAAAAAAAGTTTTGAAATGACCTATCAAATGTTGCAGGCCCTCAGAACACATTAATTGTGACCATGAAAGACACTGTAAGCTGCCAACACCTTTTGAGGGCATGAAGAGGGAGGTGTGGGGCCCATCTCACAGGGTGGTGCCAGGGATTTGGGATCAAGAGGTTTGAAGGGCCTGCATTATAAAAATGATGTGATTTGGAAAATGCATTTATTTGCACTTGGAACAATTCAAATAGACAGTTCAAAATAGAGTATAAGAATTGGTGATTCCTTTAGTCCACTCCGAAATTTATTATCCCAAATAATTATTATTCTTGCCGGTCATAATTGCATACTCATAGTATATTAGAGCTGGGAGTAGGTCTGCAAGAAACTCATATGCTTACACCAGGGCAGACGGGGAACACTTGCTATGTTAGCTGCACGTCAGGATTCTTAGAAAGGTTTAGCATCTAACCAAGGAGATGAAAGATAGCTACAAGGAGAGCTACAAAACACTGAGAAAAGAAATTGAGACACAAACAAATGGAAAACCATCCCATGCTCATGGAATAGAAGAATCAATATTACTAAAATGTCCATATTGCCCCAAACACTCAGCAGATTCAATGCCATCCCTCTGTCAAATTGCCAGTTATTTTTCACAGTTAGAAAAAACAATCCTAAAGTTCATATGGAATCAAAACAGATCCCGACTTGACAAAGCAGTCTTGAGAAAAAGAACAGAGGAGGAGAGTACCACTCTCTGTCTGTCTCCGTGTCTCTCTCTGTCTCTGTGTCTCTCTCGGTCTTTGTCTCACTGTGTCTCTCTGTCTCTACCCCTGTTTCTGTCTCTGACACACACACACACACCCACCCACACACACACACACGCGCGTCTTGTTGGTAAAGGCTCCTCAGAGTCACTCACTCAGACTGGAAACTGATTCTTACCAACCCCTGGAGGGCTCCAGCTGGTAAACAGTGCCTGAGTGTGTAACATAACCAGTGCGTGTACGAGTGTGTGCCCGAGCATGTGCCTGTGTGTGCACATGTAATTGTGCATGTGTGACTGTGTGACTGTGTGCATGCGTGTGTGTGTGCATTATGTATACTTTGTGTGGATGTGTGTGTGTGCATTTGTGTGTACACCTACATCAGCTGGGTGGGAAATGGCAGGGG